>NC_000002.12:23873391-24024906 GCF_000001405.40 Homo sapiens
TTCCAGGACCCTTGCGAATACCAAAATTCAAGTATGCTTAAGTCCCTTACATAAAAATAGTATAGTGTTTGCACATTGCATATGGCCTACACACATCCTCCCACACACTTTTTTTGAAAATTTATCAAAGACTTAACGTAAGAGTTACCTCCTGTATACTTTAAATCATCTCTAAATTAATTATAATACCTAATACAACACATGCTATATAAATAGTCATCAAGCTGTATTTTTTGTTGTTGTATTGTTGGGGTTTTTTCTCAAATATTTTCGAGGTGTGGTTGGTTGCATTCACAGATGCAGAACCTGTAGCTCAAGAGGACCAACTGTACTTGCTAATGTTTCTTCTCGTAGCTTCAGTAAAAGCCATTAAATCATATAAAGTAATAATGCCAACAATGTATTGTTAGATCTGTAACATTTTTAGGTGTGATACAAATAACAATAATACAACAAAAATAGTGGTATACATAATTTCCCAGTAAATAACTGAAAAGCCAAAATCCTAGTTGGGGCTGGGCATGGTGGCTCATGCCTGGAATCCCAGCACTTTGGGAGGCTGAGGCAGGCAGATCACTTGAGGTCAGAAGTTCGAGACCAGCCTGACCAACATGGTGAAACCCAGTATCTACTAAAAATACAAAAATTAGCCTGGCATGGTGGTGTATGCCTGTAACCCCAGCTAGTGGGGAGGCTGAGCCAGGAGAATTGCTTCAACCAAGGAGGCGGAGGTTGCAGTGAGCCGAGATCACGTCACTGCACTCCAGCCTTGGCGACCAGGGAAGGCTCCATCCCAAAAAAAAAAAGAAAAGAGCTTAAAAGCCAAAGAGTATACAAAACTATACAAAACAAACTCAAACCATATACAAAAATTAAGTAAATCAAAGACCTAAACATAACAGCTAAAACTATAAACTATTAGAGGAAACCATAGGAACAAATCTTCATGACCTCTGAGTTGGCAATGGATTCTAAGATATAACAGTAAAAGCATAAGCACAAAATAAAAAACAAGTAACTTGAACTTCATAAAAATTAAAAGCTTGGCTGGGCACAGTAGCTCATGCCTGTAATCCCAGCACTTTGGGATCACTTGAGCCCAGGAGTTCAAGACCAGTCTGGGCAACGTGGCAAAACCCTATCTCTACAAACAATATAAAAATTAGCTGAAAATAGTGCCGTGTGCCTGTAGTCCCAGCTACTCGGGAGGCTGAGGTGGGAGGATTGTTTGAGTCCAGGAGGCTGAGGCTGCAATGAGCCATGATCATAGCACGCCTAGGTGACAGAGCAAGACCCTGTCTCAAAAAAAAAAAATAAACTTTTAAAAGTAGAAACTTTCCTTTGTTTCTACTTTCTTCTACATGTAAAAGAAAGGATAATTAGGGCCGGGTGTGGTGGCTCACGACTGCAATGCCAGCACTTTGGGAGGCCAAGGCAGGCGGATCAGGAGGTCAGGAGATCGAGACCATCCTGGCTAACACGGTGAAATCCCATCTCTACTAAAAATACAAAAAAATAGCCAGGTGTGGTGGCGAATGCCTGTACTCCCAGCTACTCGGAAGGCTGAGGCAGGAGAATGGCGTGAACCCAGGAGGTGGAGCTTGCAGCGACCCAAGATTGCCCCACTGCACTCCAGCCTGGGTGACAGAGCGAGATTCCATCTCAAAAAAAAAAAAAAAGGATAATCAGGGGGAAAAAGTATCAAAGATTAACTTGAATGGATGCTTCAAATGAAACCAATGTGGGTCATTTAGATTCAACTCTGCTAAGAGACCAAAGAGCTGTGTAGCTTTAGGGAATAAAAAATAAACTTTTAAAAGTAGAAACTGGTCGGGCGCCATGACTCACGCCTGTAATCCCAACACTTTGAGAGGCCAAGGCAGGGGGTTCACAAGGTCAGGAGTTTGAGACCATCCTGGCCAACATGGTGAAATTCTATCTCTACTAA
Source organism: Homo sapiens (assembly GCF_000001405.40). Classification (NCBI taxonomy): domain Eukaryota; kingdom Metazoa; phylum Chordata; class Mammalia; order Primates; family Hominidae; genus Homo; species Homo sapiens. Next base: position 23,875,340 of record NC_000002.12, read on the forward strand.
AAATATGAAAATTAGCTGGGCATGGTGGCGCACACCTGTAATCCCAGCTACTCGGGAGGCTGAGGCAGGAGAATTGCTTGAACCCAGGAGAAAAGGTTGCAGTGAGCCGAGACTGCGCCACTGCACTCCAGCCTCCAGCCTGAGGGACAAAGTGAGACTCCGTCTCAAAAAAAAAAGTAAAACCTTCCTTTGTACCTACATGTAAAAGAAAGCATAATTAGGGGGAAAAATATCACAGATTAACTCGAATCAGTGCTTCAAATGAAAGCAATATGGGTCACCTTAGATTCAACTCTGCTAAGAGACCAAAGAGCTGTGTAGCTTTAGTGAATGTAACTGTTAAAACAACAAATATTCCAGGCAAACTGAATCTGGAAGATAATAGTAGCTAAATAGGATGACAACTGTTAGTCACTAATTAAAGAAAGAAAGACACAATTAGTCTCTCATTGACAAATGCAAATGTTTCCTTTCAAAAACAAACCTTACCTAATATGGCTTCTTCTTGCTGGAGATCTATGAATATCAAACAGCGTGTTTTCCCTCTTTTTTTGATGAGCTGGTACTAAAAGGGAAGAAAAGGATAATAGAGAAATAACTAATAAATTGATAAATTAATGTATTAAAGGAGTAGAAATGACTTCTGCTCACTTTTTTGTTGTTGTTGTTTTTTGAGACAGAGTCTTGCTCTAACGCCAGGCTGGAATGCAGTGGCGCGATCTCGGCTCACTGCAACCTCTCCCTCCTAAGTTCGAGCGATTCTCCTACCTCAGCCTCCCAAGTAGCTGGGACTACATGCGGGTGCCACCACGCCCAGCTAATTTTTGTATTTTTAGTAGAGACAGGGTTTCACCATGTTGGCCAGGATGGTCTCGATCTCCTGACCTCATCATCCGCCCACCTCGGCCTCCCAAAGTGCTGGGATTACAGGCATGAGCCACCGGGCCCAGCCCTGTTAACTTTTTTTTCTTTTTTTTTTTGATACAGAGTCTCACTCTGTCGCCCAAACTGGAGTGCAGTGGCGCGATCTCGGCTCACTGCAAACTCTGCCTCACAGATTCAAGCAATTCTCCTGCCTCAGCCTCCTGAGTAGCTGGGATTACAGGCGCCAGCCACCACGCCCAGCTAATATTTGTATTTTTGGTAGAGACGGGGTTTCACCATGTGGGCTAGGCTGATCTCAAACTCCTGACCTCATGAGCCGCCCGCCTAGGCCTCCCAAATTACTGGGATTACAGGCGTGAGCCACTGTGCCCGGCCCCTGTTAACTTTTTAAATAAAACCTAGTCATGTGTTTTCAAGTACCAAATGCTGTCTAGAAGCAAAATGAAAATAAAAATTTTGTGGCAATACTATAAAGTTGCAAATAAACATTCTAAACAGATGTTAACTTAATCTTTGAGACTATGAGATTTCTTAGATACATGATCCATTAAAAAAAATTTTAGCTGGGTGCAATGGCTCACACCTGTAATCCCAGCACTTTGGGAGGCCGAGGCAGGTGGATCACCTGAGGTCAGGAGTTCAAGACCAGCCTGACCAACATGGAGAAACCCTGTCTCTACTAAAAACACAAAATTAGCCGGGCGTGGTGGTGCATGCCTGTAATCCCAGCTACTCGGGAGGCTGAGGCAGAAGAATCGCTTGAACCTAGGAGGCGGAGGTTGCAGTGAGCCAAGATCGTGCCACTGAACTCCAGCCTGGGCAAGAAGAGCGAAACTCCATCTCAAAAAAAAAAAAAAAAAGAAAGAAAGAAATTTAGCACAATCCATTCAAAGAACAATCCATTAAAATTTTTTTTTACAGGCTGGGCAGGGTCCCGGGACTTTGGAAGGCCAAGTCAAAGGACTGCTTTGAGCCCAGGAGTTCCAGACCATCCTAGGCAACGCGGTAAGAACCCAACTCTAGTTTGAGGCGCAGTGGATCACTTAAGGTCAGGAGTTCGAGCCAGCCTGACCAACATGGTGAAACCCCATCTCTATTAAAAAATATGTATATACAAAAATTAGCCAGGCATGGTGGCATGCGCCTGTAATCCCAGCTACTTAAGAGGCTGAGGCAGGAGAATCACTTGATTCCAGGAGGCAGAGGTTGCAGTGAGCTGAGATCATGCCACTGCACTCCAGCCTAGGTGACAGAGCAAGAAGGAAGGGAAGGGAAGGGAAGGGGAGGGAAGGGGAGGGAAGGGGAGGGGAGGGGAAGGGAGGGGAGGGCAGGGGAAGGGAGGGGAGGGGAGGGAAGGAAGGGCGGGCCGGGCACTGTGGCTCACAACTTGTAATCCCAGCACTTTGGGAGGCTAAGGCGGGTGGATCACGAGAGGTCAGGAGTTCAAGACCAGCCTGGCCAAGATCGTGAAACCCCATCTGTAATAAAAATACAAAAATTAGCCAGGCACGGTTAATCCCAGCTACTTGGGAGGCTGAGGCAGGAGAATCACTTGAACCAGGGCGGTAGAAGCTGCAGTGAGCCAACAGCACCACTGCACTCCAGCCTGGGTGACAGAATGAGACTATCTCAAAAAAAAAGAAAAAGAAAAAAAGAACCCAACTTTACAAAAAAATTTTTTTTTAATTAGCCAAGTATGGTGACATGCACCTCAGCAGGCTGAAGCAGAAGAATGCAGTGAGCCATGTTCGCACCAATGCACTCCAGCCTGGATGACCCTATCTCCAAAGAAAAAAAAAAAAAAAAAAAAAAAAAGCAAAATGTATAAATTGGAGTTCATTAAAATTACAAATGGGCCAGGCATGGTGGCTCAGGTCTGTAATCCCAGCACTTTAGGAGGCCAACATGTGTGGATCACCTAAGGACAAGAGTTCGAGATCAGCCTGGCCAACATGCTGAAACCCCATCTCTACTAAAAATACAAAAATTAGCCAGGTGTGGTAGCGCATGCCTGTAGTCCCAGCTACTTGGGAGGCTGAGGCAGGAGAATCGCTTGAACCCAGGAGGCGGAGGCTGCAGTGAGCCAAGACTGCACCACTGCATTCCAGCCTGGGCAACAGAGTGAGACTCTGTCTCAAAAAATGAATAAATAGGCCAGGTGCAGTGGCTCACGCCTGTAATCCCAGGACTTTGGGAGGCTGAGGCGGGCGGATCATGAGGTCAGGAGATCGAGACCATCCTGGCTAACACGAAGAAACCCTGTCTCTACTAAAAACACAAAAAAATTAGCCAGGCGTGGTGGCAGGCGCCTGTAGTCCCAGCTACTCGGGAGGCTGAGGCAGGAGAATGGCATGAACCTGGGAGGCGGAGCTTGCAGTAAGCCGAGATCATGCCACTGCACTCCAGCCTGGGCGACAGAGCAAGACTCCATCTCAAAATAAATAAAATAAAATAAAATAAAATAATAAACTTCTGCTCTTCAAAAGATACTATTGAGAGAATAAAAAAGACAAGCAACAGACTGTCTTGTCTTAAAAATATTTGCAAATGACATATCTGTTAAAGGTCTAATATCCAGAACATATAAGGAATCTCAAAACTCAATAATAAGAAAACAAACAACCCAATTGAAAAAATGGCCAGAGATCTGAACAGACATTTTACCCAAGATTTAACACTGTCAAAAAGAAAAACAAATGAAAAGATGCTCCAACACCATTAGGGAAATGTAAACTAAAACTATAATAAATACCTGTTAAAATTAATTAATTAATCTGAGTATACCAATTGTTGGCAAGAATACAGAGCAACTACAGCTCTCATACACTCTTAGTGAAAATGGTATAACCACTTTAAAAAAGAGTTTGGTAACTTCTTATATCTCATCATAAAACCCAGCCTTTCTACTCCTTGGTATTTGTTAGAAATACAAAAACATATGTCCACACAAAGACCTACATGTGAATGTTCATCACAACTTTATTTGTAATAACCAAAAACTGGAAAGGATCATAATGTCACATAACAAATGAATGGATAAACAAATTGTGATATATCCACACCACAGAATGCTATTCAGCAAAAGAAAAAAAAAAAGGAATACACAGCTGGATGCAGAGGTTCAAGACATCACAGTGCTTTGGAAGGCCAAGGCAGGAGAATCCCTTCAGGCCAGGAGTTCAAGACCAGCCTCGGCAACACAGCAAGATCCTGTTTCTACAAAAAAAATTAATTAGCTAGGCATGGTGGTTGTACACCTGTAGTTCTAGCTATACAAGGAATTGAGGTAGGAGGATAGCTTGAGCTCAGGAGTTTGAGGCTGTAGTGTATTATATTTGTGCTTCTGAACAGCCATTACACTGCACCATGAACAACATAGTGAGATCCCTTCTCTAAAAGATAAACTTTTAACTTTTTCCTTCTGCCAGCAAAAAAAGAAAAAGAAAAAAAGAAAACAACTAAGTTATTGGCCAAGCTGCAGCCGTATACTATTTTTGTGACCTCGGGTAAGTCACTTAACCTCTTGGACCATAAAGATACTCTCCCTAGGCCGTGCACAGTGGCTCACACCTGTAATTCCAGCACTTTGGGAGGCCAAGGTGGGCCAATCACCTGAGGTCAGGAGTTCGAGACCAGCCTGGCCAGCATGGTGAAACCCTGTCTCTACTGAAAAAAATATAAAAATTAGCCAGATGTGGTTGCGGGCACCTGTAATCCCAGCTACTCAGGAGGCTGAGGCAGGAGAATTGCTTGAACCCAGGAGGCAGAGGCTGCAGTGCACTGAGATAATGCCACTGTACTCCAGTCTGGGTGACTGCAGACTCTGTTTTTAAAAAAAAAAAAAAAAAGAGAGAGAGAGATACTTTCCCTAAAGAACTGCTATAAATTAAAGTAAAGTGCTCAGTAAACTATACAGTGTAATGCAAAAGCATGAGCCATATTATTAAACACAAGCTTCTATAAATAAAATGTACATGCTGTATGTAAATCAATGCTGCTACCATGTACTTTGACTTTCTTTCAGTTGCATGTGTGTGCACAGAAGTATATGTAGTAAAAAAAAATACAGTACATAAAACCTATAAGAGATTGCCTTCTTTTAAATTTGGCAATATTAATTTTTTTAAAAGCAGTAGGGCATTTTTAGTAGAGATGGGGTTTCACCATGTTAGCCAGGATGGTCTCGAGCTCCTGACCTCATGGTGGCGGGCACCTGTAGTCCCAGCTACTCGGGAGGCTGAAGCAGGAGAATGGCATAAACCCAGGAGGCACAGCTTGCAGTGAACTGGGATCGCACCACTGCACTCCAGCCTGGGCGATGGAGCGAGACTCTGTCTCAAAAAAAAAAAAAAGCAGTGGGGCAGAATAAGTTACTCAACTACCAGAAAGAAAAAAGTTATTTAGAGTTGCCTACCTATTGGAGGTGCTTGGTATCGATCCACTGTTTTTCTCTGTCTCAAATTATATGGTCTATCATTTTCTTCTCCTTCTGCCTCTTCAACTTCTATATCTCCATCCTCCTCTTGAGATTCTAGTTTCCCACACACAAAAAGAAAAGAAAAAGGCATTATTTTAATTCAAAAGGATTGGTCTACTCTAGAACTGAATATTTACACTTTATCCATTACTCTTTCTGCACAGGTGACATTTAAGTGCCAACATATTACGTAAAGCATACATAATTAAAAATCAACCTAAATGGATGTAAAAGAAAATACTTTCCCTGCCAATGATCAATACAATTATCTGCTAAATAAATTAATATGATCATATTTTATCTCTTGATTTACTTAGGAACTTTGATTCTCCTTGTTCATACAATGCAATAATAGAAAACAGACTTAAAATTTTACCCAACTACAGCAAACTTCAATCAATGCTCAATTAACCACTAAATAAGATTAGTATTCAAATACCACTTGATAATTCAAAAAAATATGCTTATAGGTAATTACTAATGTTACAGCAAGAGCAACTTTTGTTGGCAGTGTAATGATTTGTTAGGCCTGTTGACCACAGTTAAGCATGGATTAGTTACATTTTGGTAGCAAAGTGCACATAAGCATTGAGAGGGAGCATGAAACAGACTTCTAGGGTATTGGTAATAGTTTATTTCTTGACATGAGTGATCAATTCTTTTTTTTTTTTTTTTTTTTTTTGACACAGAGTCTCTGTCGCCAGGCTGGAGTACAGTGGCGTGATCTGGGCTTCACTGCAACCTCTGACTCCTAGATTCAAGCAATTCTCCTGCCTCAGCCTCCCGAGTAGCTGGGACTACAGGCACGTGCCACCACGCCCGGCTCATTTTTTGTATTTTTAGTAGAGATGGGGTTTCACCATATTGGCCAAGATGGTCTCGAACTCCAGACCTGGTGATCAACCCCCCTCGGCCTCCCAATGTGCTGGGATTATAGGCGTGAGCCACCGCGCCCAGCTATAATTCATTTTTTAAACTGTATACACTTAAAAAATAAATTATAATGTACATAAATCCTAAAAGGTTTTTCTTTTTTTTTGAGATGGAGTTTTGCTCTTGTTGCCCAGACTGGAGTGCAATGGCGCGATCTCAGCTCACTGCGACCTCTGCCTCCCAGGCTCAGGCGATTCGCCTGCCTCAGCCTCCTGAGTAGCTGGGACTACAAGCATGTATCACCATGCTTGGCTAATTTTGTATTTTCAGTAGAGACGGGGTTTCACCACATTGACCAAGCTGGTCTTGAACTCCTGACTTCAGGCAATCTGCCCACCTAGGCCTCCCAAAGTGCTGGGATTACAGGCGTGAGCCAAAATATTATTTTTTAAAAATGATTTGGCAATAGCTATAACATCTAAGTACAGTTAAAATAAGAGTCTAGCTGGACGCAGAGGCACCTGCCTCTAGTCCCAAATACTTAGGAGGCTAAGGCGGGAGGATGGCTTGAGCCCAGAAGTTTGAGTTCAGCCTGGGGCAACATAGCAAGATTCCATCTCTATTTTTTTTTTATTTTTATTTTTTTTGAAACAGAATCTCACTGTCACCCAGGCTGGAGTGCATGATCTTGGCTCACTGAAACCTCTGCCTCTCGGGTTCAGGCGATTCTCATATCTCAGCCTCCCGAGTAGCTGCGATTACAGGCGTGCACCACAATGCCCGGCTAATTTTTGTATTGTTGGTAGAGACAGGGTTTCACTATGTTGGCCAGCCTGGCCTCAAACGCCTGATCTCAAGTGATCCACCCGCCTCAGCCTCCGAAAGTGCTGGAATTATAGGGGTGAGCCACCACACCCAGCCTCTATTTAAAAAAAAAAAAAAAAAAAAAAAAGGCCAGGCGCAGTGGCTCATGCCTATAATCCCAGCACTTTGGGAGGCCAAGGTGGGAGGATCACGAGGTCAGGAGATCGAGACCATCCTGGCTAACACAGTGAAACCCCATCTCTACAAAAAATACAAAAAAAAATAGCCAGGCATGGTGGCGGGTGCCTGTAGTCCCAGCTACTCGGGAGGCTGAGGCAGGAGAATGGCATGAACCCAGGAGGCGGAGCTTGCAGTGAGCCGAGACTGCACCACTGCACTCCAGCCTGGGCAACAGAGCGAGACTCCATCTCAACAACAACAACAACAAAAAAAAAAAGATCTGATGAAAATTAGTAAGCATATGAACGCCCAAATGCAATATGTAACTTTTTAACCACAAGAACTGTCAATACAACACAATCATATTAAAGCATAGAAAAAAATATAAAGCTGGCAGTGATACTTAGGGAAGTAGAAGACTAAAACTGCAAAGGGCTGGACATGGTGGCTTACGCCTATAAACCCAGCACTTTGGGAGGCTGAGGCAGGAAGACTATTTGAGCTCACGAGATCAAGACCAGCCTGGGCAACAAACATATTGAGACCCCATCTCTACAAAAATTACAAAAGATTTAGCCGAGCATGATGGCATGTGCTTATGGTCCCAGCTACTCAGGAGGCTGACATGGGAGGATCGCTTGAGCCTGGGAGGTCAAGGCTGCAGTGAACTGTGATTGTGACAATGTGCTCCAGCCTGGGTGACAGAGTGAAAAACTGTCTCAAAAAAAAAAAAAAAAAAAAACCTGCCAAGGACTTTATATTTTACTCATGACATCAGAAAGCATTATTTGAAAAATTTTTATCGTTAGGTTGTAGAGAAAAATCAACAAATACAGTATTTATCTAAATAATACTATAAAATACTTGTACCTAAATAAGTTATCTAAATATCCAAAACATTACTTTTTGAAAAATGTCTGTACAGTAACACAGTATTACAAGCAGAATTTCTAAATATGGCATATCTACTTTGGAAACTCTACAAAGATGTTCAGTTAATGAAAAGGCAAGAATCGCATTATAAATCTGTCTCACCTATACTGATTTTCTCCAAAGGAAGCAATTTAGAGGTTCTAGCTGTAACAACAATAATATTTGCTCAATAAAGTACCTTCATTAGAAATATCACCTCTTCAAAATTGACTAATAAAATATTAACTACAGAATTTTTAAAAAACATAGTCTTCTCAATCTAAACTACACAAATAATGGGAACTAGTAAGATTCCCCTATAAGTACTACTAATCTGCATTTACAATCTTCTGAATCTTCTGAAAATCCATTTCAATAAAGATTAATGCCAGGCCGGGTGCAGTGGCTCACGCCTGTAATGCTAGCACTTTGGGAGGCCGAAGCGGGTGGATCACCAGAGGTCAGGAGTTCAACACAAGCCTGGCCAACAAGGCAAAAACCCCTCTCTACTAAAAATACAAAAATTAGCCAGACATGGTGGTGCACGCCTGTAATACTAGGTACTCGAAAGGCTGAGGCAGGAGAATCGCTTGAACCCAGGAGGCGGAGGTTGCAGTGAGCCAAGATTGCGCCACTGTACTCCAGCCTGGGCAACAAGAACAAGACTCTGTCTCAAAAAAAAAAGATTAATGCCTACAGAATTAAATCCTATAGGTGTACTGTTCATCAATTTATAATTCATGGGGCCAATGTGCTGCTGTCATGTTCCCAACTCTGGCCCTACAAGGTCAGTCTGGGTTCTTCAGTTCAGAACCCACAAATGCCTCAGAAAAGAACAGTATAGTCCCTTTCCACTGGTATTAGAAGTCTCTCTCTAAACTTTACTCTTTATTCCTCAGACCATACCTAAATTTGAGATCCACATAATCAGAGATTTAGAGGCCACGGATAGCAAAGTAACTATCCAGTTAGAAGGTGCCTAAGTACAAAAAAGGCCTCATCTAAGAAGCAAATGAGCCCAAAGTAAATCCCATACCAGATCACTGAAGGACTACCAATGGCTACTAATAAAATACATTACATAATGTATAATGTGCACTTAAAAGTATTTTTCCAAATGAAGGAAATGAAACTCAGATTGCCAACTGAATTTAAATTATTTCAAATTATACAATATAGACCTCAAAATCCAAAAACCAACTACTCAGCAACATTCTACATATATTACTTGTATATTTTATTTTTCTTCCCTCCCACCTGAACTTTCTAGAATTCCAAAAAGTGCTTTACAAACCTTCTTCTTCACCCTCAGTAGAAACTTCATGATGATTTTGTATCCCATAACTATTTCTTCTTAGTGACTTTCTTCGCCTTTTCACTCTTGAATACATATCCATGTTTTCCTTTTAAAGAAAGAAATCTGTCAAATAGCAACATGACATTTATTCTCCACTACAAAAAAACAACCCAATGGGACATACCTGCTCAACAAAATTTATTGAGCACCTATTTGCGTGCCATAGATTCGTGAAAATGGAGCTTCCTAAATTCAATAAATGTAAGAAATAAAAGGGAAAACACTTACAATAAACTTATAAAAATGTAAAACACATAATGCCAGCAACATACTTTCTCCCTCAAGCAAATTACAGCCTAGTAGGAGGGAAATAAGACAATCACAGGTAATTATAAAAGAAAGTAAAATAAGTTAAATGTCATAAAGAGAGGTACAAAGTACTCCAGAATTCAAAGAGAAGACCCTCCTTTTGTTATGGGGTAAAGGGAAGAGAGGCAGTATCTGAAATGAACCTTGAAACAAAGGTAGAACTGCATCAGTCACTAACTAGAAATATTAACAAGAGTAAAAGTTATAGGAATAAGAATGATTTGTTTACACTTAGGCAATGGTGTGTGAGAAAACAAAGTTGAAGCCAGATCATCAACATCAAGGTGTTTTTAATCTTCAGTGCACAACAAAAAACCATTAATGGTTCAAATCAGAAGAATAACAGAATCACAGTTGCACTTTAAGGTGACTCATCCAGCAAAAGTGAAGAGGGTCTTCTTGGAAAGGTTGTAGCAAGAGGAGAATGAAGAAAAGAAACAAGCAAGCAATAAAATCCCAAACTAAGTTGGAAATGAAGACGAAGGAACACTCATGCTAATTCAAAAACATCCAACTGTTGCATTCTCCCTTTAAATTCCTCAATTAAAATGAAAAATATTTACAAAGATTGCTACAGCTAATATACTCACAAATTCTGTATCTGTCCACATTCGAAGTCGTTCTACTTCTCCTGATCGACGATTCCGTCGGATGTTAATGTTGTCCATTTCCTGTAGTACAGCTTCAGCAGTGCTACAATCACATAATAAAATCAGGATTTAGACAATGGTGGCACCATATACATAAAAGAGCTCTTTGTGAAAGTGTAATCAAATCATCTCTGATGTGTAACTACACACAACTTTTTTTTCTTTTTTGTTTTTTTTAGATAGAGTGTCCCTCTGTCACCCAGGCTGGAGTGCAGTGGCCTGTTCATGGCTCACTGCAGCCTCAACCTCCTGGGCTCAAGTGATCCTCCCACCTCAGCCTCCCGAGTATCTGAGACTACAGGCATGCACTACCATGCCCAGCTAACTTTTATATTTTTTTGTGGAGATGGGGTTTCACCATGTTGCCCAGGCTGTTCTTGAACTCCTGGGCTCAAGCGATTCATTCATCTCAGCCTCCCAAAGTGCTGCAATTACAGTGATGCGCCCCACCATATCCCAATTAAATACCTCTTTCATAACCAGCATCCATCAACAGAATACAGTGCCCAATAAGAAAAGCAAAACCAGGATATCTTCTACCTTAATATATACATTAAAATAAAACTTTTTAAATATAAGGCTTTTGTTAATAAGTTCCCAATAAAAAATATATAATGCCTCTATGAATAATTATCAGATACATGACACTGAAAAAATACAAATTCAATCTTTTTATTGAAGATGGTATTAAGAATAACTTGTACAAAATAATTGTATAAAATTATTTTATCTTTATTTGTATAAAAATAAGTAATTGTATAAAATAAAACAATTTGTAAAAAGTTTAAAGCCAATATAAGGTTTACTGGAAAGACTCTTTTAGAAATTCAAGTAGAACACTGACATTCAGGAAATACATGCTAGGCCGGGAGCGGTGGCTCACGCCTGTAATCCTAGCACTTTGGGAGGCAGAGGCAGGCGGATCACGAGGTCAGGAGATAGAGACCATCCTGGCTAACACGGTGAAACCCCATCTCTACTAAAAATACAAAAAATTAGCCAGGCATGGTGACGGACACCTGTAGTCCCGGCTACTTGGGAGGCTGAGGCATGAGAATGGCATGAACTGAGGAGGCAGAGCTTGCAGTGAGCCGAGATCACGCCACTGCACTCCAGCCTGGGTGACAGAGCGAGACTCCATCTCAAAAAAAAAAAAAGGGAAAAAGAAATACATGCTAACGTCTTAGCAATTTTTTTTAAGAGATGGGGTGCTGGGCACGGTGGCTCATGCCTGTAATCCCAGCACTTTGGGAGGCCAAGGCAGGCAGATCACAAGGTCTGGAGATCAAGACCTGGTGAAACCCCGTCTTTACTAAAAATACAAAAAATTAGTCGGGCATGGTGGCACGCGCCTATAGTCCCAGCTGCTCGGAAGGCTGAGGCAGGAGAATCATTTGAACCTGGGAGGCAGATGTTGCAGTGAGCCAAGATCGCGTCACTGCACTCCAGCCTGGGCGAGGGATTGAGGTCTCACTATGCTGCCGTGACTGGTCTTGAACTCCCGGGCACAGGATCTTCCCACTTTAGCCTCCTGAGCAGCTATGACTACAGTCTCCAGCCACCACACTTGGCTATCTTAGCAATTTTTATTTTATATTTTAAACAAATACTTAGATAACATTAACTATGCATCTAGATACTGAACAATACTTAAGTTTTAATAGTAACTTAAGCCCAAATTTGATGTTATCACTGTAGAATATAATTTCCTCTCTTGTCAAATAGCGATTGTACTGACCACCCTCTCCAGGCTATTGTAAAGATTAAGTAGGATGACATATTATCTGAGAAGAGTAAAGTTTTACAGATGCAGACGTTGAACGGATAGTCAGCTCACTGACTAGCTAAGAGACTCAATCCCACATACTCAGTCTCAAAACATCTTCAATTCAAAATGTTGAACTGACCCACCACACCCAGCTTCAAGTTAAGTTTTTAAAGAACTGTATTGATTGCTAAGTCGTTGCTTATGTTATTTTTTTAAAACGTAACTGTCTTAAAAACCAAATAATTAAATGAAACTGCTTAATACTTGGCATTCATACCTATTTACTAGTTGATCAAATAACAAACTCTGGTTCACACTTTCAAATCTGTTTTTCCTGGAACGACAACTTTTTCTGACTTCCATGTCACCATTTATACAAGAAAGGTCCCCATCTCCCTTCTTTTCCCCTCGAAGGGGATGGCTTCGAAGGGCTACAAGAAGAGAGATATTTACATTTCAAAGTACAGAATACAGAAAGACAGAAAAGAAAAAAAAAATCAAAAAATTACTTTTAAAAGACTACAAAAAATTTAATATAACTTTTTAAATGGCTTTAATAGTCAATAATCTAAAATTTCTATAAATTTTACAATCTGTCATAAATAATTTAAATTTCAGGTATGCTGATTTCTCAAAGTTTAACAATTACATACTTTTTTTACTATGACTGAAATTCAGCCATTTCCAACTGTATGCTCAGCACACTATTAAATCACTCTATTTTTCCCCACTTTACTGCTTTCTCTAACATTGTAAGAATTTTAAAACTAACCAGTTTTATAATAGAATACTCACATAAGCCACTATGTCCATTTGGTAATGTAGCACCAGGCTGAGAAGTTAACCTAGAACACAATAATATTTAATATGCAAACACATCAACATTTGCTTATATAAGCAAGAAATGAAATACTGCTGGAATTATTTTAATCTTTAAAACTTTTTTAAAAGTAAAGATAACTTTTTTTACTGTAAGATTGGTAATATGTCAATTAATAAAATATACTAGCTAGTTAAAAGCCATTTCATTACTTCAAGAAAAGCTTTAATAACAGATTATACACTAAGTTTACTCTGCCATCAACTCTACAAATCAAAACCCAAAAAAAAGGCTTAAGCTTAATATATACCATAAAATTAACTGAGACCATGAGTAGCAGGGGTCACAGGCATTACCTATTGGTTTTGGTTGATGAAATAAAATTCAAACAATGATAAATTTATTAACACAATAAACAGTAAGAAAAAAGTGCTTGAATACCAATATCATTTAATAATTTCTTCAAAGTATTTTATTACACATTTAATCTGACAAATCAAACAGCTGATTTATCGAAAGAGCCATTTTACAATTCTCTCTTTTGGGTGGAAGAAGAGAAATGTAAATCACTGGAAAGTTACTAAAAAGGCCATCAAAACATGAGGACTAGGAAAAAGTCACCATACTTCTTAGTACAGTCAGAAAGTTCAAAAGTAAAAACTAAATTGCTGCATAATAAAAGAGTTGTCAATGCAAACTAAGATATTTTTGAAATATCCAACAATTATTAGTTTCGAAGATTAAAAAACTAGGGAAAGGACATCCAGAAAATCACAAATATGTATGACTGCCTTCCTTTTTTTCTCCCCACAAGACAGAGTCTTGCTCTGTCGCCCAGGCTGGAGTACAGTGGCGCGATCTCGGCTTACTGCTACCTCCGTCTCCCAGGCTCAAGTGATTCTCCTGCCTCAGCCTCCCAAGTAGCTGGAATTACAGGCACGTGCCACCATGTCCGGCTAATTTTTGTATTCTTAGTACAGATGGGGTTTCACCATGTTGGTCAGGCTGGTCTCAAACCCCTGACCTCAGGTGATCTGCCCACCTCGGCCTCCCAAAGTGCTGGGATTACAGGCGTAAGCCACCGCGCCCAGCCCCTATGACTGCCTTCTATGTGGTTTGCACAAATTTTTAATTAAAATAATCTAACATTTTTGGTTACTCCAGTACTCTTCAAGTTAAATTATAAATATATTGTACATCACAATACCCCTGGCCCAGCAAAGGTCACAGTTAAGACGACTAAAGGGTATAAACAAAAACTCAAGCCAGGCGCGATGGCTCACGCCTATAATCCCAGCACTTTGAGAGGCCGAGGCAGGTGGATCACCTGAGGTCAGGAGTTCGAGACCAGCCTGGCCAACATGGTGAAACCCCGTCTCTACCAAAAATACAAAAATTGCTGGGCGTGGTGGCGGGCACCTGCAATCCCAGCTACTCGGGAGGCTGAGGCAGGAGAATTGCTTGAACCCAGGAGGCAGATGTTGTAGTGAGTGGACATCACATCACTGCACTCCAGCCCAGGTGACAGAGCAAGGCTCCATCTAAAAAACAAAAAACAGGCTGGGCGCGGTGGCTCATGCCTGTAATCCCAACACTTTGGGAGGCCGAGGCGGGCAGATTACGAGGTCAGGAGATCGAGACCATCCTGGCTAACACGGTGAAACCCCATCTCTACTAAAAATACAAAAAAATCAGCCAGGCGTGGTGGCAGGCACCTGCAGTCCCAGCTACTCGGGAGGCTGAGGCAGGAGAATGGCGTGAACCTGGGAGGTGGAGCTTACAGTGAGCCGAGATCGCGCCACTGCACTCCAGCCTGGGTGACAGAGCGAGACTCCGTCTAAAAACAAAAAATAAATAATAAATAACAAAAAACAAAACAAAAAAAACCCTCATACTACTACGCATCTTCAGATTGTCAAAAAAATAACAACAAAAATCTAGCCCCCCCGCCTTTCCTCTAGAAAACAACAAAAAAAATACCTTTACCTAATATACTATCTTGGAGAAAATTTCATTTTTAGCACCACTGTATACAATGCACATGATTCTCCAGGTATATGAGTGTGACTATAAAGTAACTAAATGGATGTAATACAGGTATTCTTACAACGTTGTCATTACACAATGCATTCCTGGAATTCTTAAGAATCACTCTCAAAATCCACTTAAAACCACACAGAAAAACCAACTTTATTACTTCATAAATATACTTTGTCTTTAGACCCAACAAAGCATTAACTCAGCTTGATCAGTTTATTCACAAGTCTTGGCACCAAATGAATTCTGACTATATACAAAGCCAAATGGTTGGAATTTCACATCACTTGAATTGTTCAAAAGAATAAGATGCAGACCCTAAAGTCATTCCACAAAAGAAATCTAAAACTTTTCAGAACAATGGTAACATCATTGGGGAAAAAAGCACAATAAGCTTTTTGTCTGCTCTAAAGAAGACAATGCTTACTTGGCTTTTATTACTAATGAAAGATCTGTTTTAAGAAAAAATCTTTAAAAACTTGTTCTTCAATTGATCCAATGACCTTATAGTCATAGATTATTGTCATCATCATCTTTATAAAAGGGAGACTGAAAAAGGAGACACGACATGAAATACATGAGTATATTAAAAGATTTAATATACTGAGATTTTTTTTTTTTTTTTTTGAGGTGGAGTCTTGCTCAGCCACCCAGGCTGGAGTGCAGTGGTGCGATCTTGGCTCACTGCAACCACCATCTCCCGGGTTCAAGTGATTCTCTCATCTCAGCCTCCCGAGTAGCTGGGATTACAGGCACCCGCCATCATGCCCAGCTAATTTTTGTATTTTAGTAGAGACAGGGTTTCACCATGTTGGCCAGGCTGATCTTGAACTCCTGACCTCAGGTGATCCACCCGCCTTGGCCTCCCAAATTGCTAAGATTACAGGCGTAAGCCACCACGCCCAGCCTACACTGAGATTTTGTAAGGGTTAGCCTGCTTAAACGTATATGCCTAAAAGTTTCTGTATTATATGAATGTTCTCAAAAGTTGTTCACTTAAATTGAGTGGGTAGCTATTTTTTGAAAAGAAGGAAGGTGGGTTGGAGATTTTTTTCCCTGTATCGTTTCCTGAATTTTTATTTATTATTTATTATTTTTTGAGGGGACAGAGCCTCACTCTGTCGCCCACGGTGGAGTGCAGTGGCTCTATCTTGGCTCACTGCAACCTCCGCCTCCTGGATTCAAGCAATTCTCATGCCTCAGCCTCCCAAGCAGTACAGGCGTGCACCACCACACCTGGCTAATTTTTGTATTTTTAGTGTAGACAGGGTTTCACTATGTTGGCCAGGCTGGTCTCCAACTCCTGACCTCAGATGATACCCCCCCGCCCCGACCCCCACCTCAGACTCCCAAAGTGCTGGGATTACAGGCGTGAGCCGCTGCACCTAACCCTGTTTCCTGAATTTTTAAATGGAACCAGTTTCACTTTGCATTAGGTGATTATTACGTTAGAACTTTCTACAGCTTTAATTATCTGGGGCACACGCTATTGCAATATCAGACTTAAAAATCATACTTATTCTCCCTTTCCCATATAAACTCAAGGCATTTAATGATTTATGAGGGTTATAAACCTCAATTCAAAAAAGCCCAAGTTCTGACAGACGTCACTTAACCACTACCACTCCTCAATTCTAATATGCCTCAGCAGTCCACATAGGTGGTTATACTTCTGCCTCACCTCACTACTTCCTCATTACCTAACCACAAAAGGAAACTTTCAAGCATGCTACATTTCAGTACACAATAAATCTTTTTTTTCTTTTTCTTGAGACGGAGTCTCGCTCTGTGGCCCAGGCTGGAGTGCAGTGGCGCGATCTTGGCTCATTGCAAGCCCCGCCTCCCTGGTTCACGCCATTCTCCTGCCTCAGCCTCCTGAGTAGCTGGAACTACAGGCACCCGCCACCACGCCTGGCTAATTTTTTGTATTTTTTAGTAGAGACGGGGTTTCACCGTGTTAGCCAGGATGGTCTCTATCTCCTGACCTCGTGATCCGCCCGCCTCGGCCTCCCAAAGTGCTGGGATTACAGGCGTGAGCCACTGCGCC
The DNA here is from genome assembly GCF_000001405.40 of Homo sapiens. NCBI lineage: Eukaryota > Metazoa > Chordata > Mammalia > Primates > Hominidae > Homo > Homo sapiens. The sequence continues at coordinate 23,892,459 of NC_000002.12, forward strand.
CGGTTTTTTCTTTTCTTTTTTTTTTTTTTTTAAGACAGAGTCTCACTCTGTCATCCAGGCTAGAGTGCAGTGGTACGATCTCAGCTAACTGCAACCTCTGTCTCCCAGGTTCAAGCAATTCTCGTGCCTCAGCCTCCCAACTAGCTGGGTACAGGCACGCGCCGCCTTGCTTAGCTAATTTTTGTATTTTTAGTAGAAATGGGATTTCACCATGTTGGCCAGACTGGTCTCCAACTCCTGGCCTCAAGTGATCCACCACCCTTGGCCTCCCAAAGTGCTGGAATTACAGGCGTGAGCCACCACACCCAGCCAAGTGTACAGTAAGTCTTATGAAAATTTCAATTTGTCTGTATCTTAGAGTATGCGTATTATTCTAGATATATATCAGGTTAAATAAATGACTAGTAGCTAAATAAATATCCGCTGACCAAAAAAGTCAATAAAATAGCATCTGTACTCACAGTATTTGTAAGCTACAACATCTATCTATATTAGTATGTATATTTGGGAATTTCTATATACAATATAAAAACTATATATTAAAAAATATTTTTGACCAAAAACATCCTATTTTACTAAAAGTATCAATCATTAAAATTCTGTTGATACACTTGGGCCTTTAAACCCAGGTTTCACCCCAAAAGAAAACTCATAATCTATCTCAAATCACTTAGGAAGATTCAGAAGTTCTAGGTCCACTTTTATCTCTATCTTCATCCAATTACCTAACTCTAAAATGGAAATTTATTTTGCCAATTAACAGTAATTTATTTAACGACCTTAGTGGTCTTTGCAAAGTTCTTTAGAATTCATTATTTTTCATAGCTAATACTAATTCTTATCTGTATTCAATTTTCCTCCATATGAATTATTATTTCTAACAAATTATTTTTTGTGAAAGGACTTCAATAAGTTTACCTTAGATGCTCATAAGAGTTTAGATTACCAAAATAAAGGAATCAAGATTCTCAGGTTCATGACATAAAAACAAATACAAGCCTTCAAGTAATTCTTAATTTTTTGTACTTATATTATCTCAAAATCTAAAATATTTTTAACTACAAGTTTTCCTTAAAATTAAATTCTATTGAATCTAATAGGTCAAATTGCATTTTATTTTCAGGTCATCTGAAACATCAAAAGATTTTAATTCTAAAAGTTTAACAGTTACTCAGACTCCTAGATGAATAAACTAAAAAAAAAAAAAACTTTTTTTTTTTTTTTTTTACGAAGACAGGTCTCACTCTGCCACCCGGGATGGAGTGCGATGGCGTGATCACAGCTCACTGTAGCCTCAAACTGCTAGGATCATGGCATCCTCCAGCCTTAGCCTTTCGAGTAGATCGGACTACAAGCATGTGCCTGAAGCTAATTTTTTAGTATTTCACAGAGATGAGGTCTCACTATGTTGCCCAGGCTGTTCTTGAACTCCTGGGCTCAAGCAATCCTCCTGCCTTGGCCTCCCAAAGTTCTGGGATTACAGGCATGAGCCACATGCCTGGCCTCAAAAATCTTTTTAAATTGTGTGAGTTACTAAACATTGTCCTTTTGCCAAAACAGAAACAGTAAATGTATTAGTATTCATTAGTTCAGTTTTTTACTCAAAATGCATCTAGGATTTTTTTAAAGAAATATCTCACTCTACGGTACCTAAATGATTCCTAAATGGAAGCATATCTTTCATATGCTCTCCCAAAATTTTTGAGGCCTTTTTATATGAAAGACTTCTATATGAAATATCGGCCAGGCACGGTGGCTCGTGCCTGTAATCCCAGCACTTTGGGAGGTCGAGGCGGGTGGATCACCTGAGGTCCAGAGTTCAAGACCAGCCTGACCAACATGGAGAAACCCTGTCTCTACAAAAAATACAAAATTAGCTGGGCGTGGTGGCGCATGCCTGTAATCCCAAATACTCGGGAGACTGAGGCAGGAGAATCACTTGAACCTGGGAGACAGAGGTTGCAGTAAGCAAAGATAGCGCCATTGCACTCCAGCAAAACTCCATCTCAAAAAAAAAAAAGAAAGAAAGAAAAGAAATATCAAGATCAATTTACATAAAGGCCTGCTGGGTGGATAAAATAAGAGAAATCTAGTATATTACTTGCACTTGAATAAACTGTTAAAATCATCTTAAAAGCCCAATTTTAACACTAAAAGAACATTGTTAGGAATATTTATCTAGAAGATATTTGATTCACTCATTTAATAAATGAAGGATAGAGATTATAACAGGTAGATCAAGTCTAAAAGTTAATGTAATTACATGGCAGTACTAAAGTAACATCATCATAATGATCCAGACCTGTTTCATCTCACAGATGTATGGGTGTGGGAAAGAAAAATAAAAATCAACAGACTATGATTCATGTATTTTTCTACTTAGCCCCATATAATGCAAATTACAAAAACATAAAATAAACTGGTACATCTTATGGAGCATATTTTAGTAAGTACAGAGACCCCTTAGGGACTAATAAATGTACGCAGCCTGTCAAAGTCTATATAACCCCAAATATTTTTTTCACTAGAGAATAAAAGTATCCAGAATTTACCTACACATATAAAATCAAAATATTTTTAAATGCTTGAAGAATAAAAACAAAGGACTTCCCTTTTACTTCTGTTCAGTCACACATCATCAGCACTTCTACTTTAAAGAGTTTAAAGAACCCTTTAGTTCCCAGACCCATGTAAAAAAAAATTGTTTTTAATTAGAAAAAATAAAAATAAAGACTTGCATAAAATAGAAGTTAAAGATTCTGATTTCAATGTTTAAATCTTTTCTATGTGTGTGCCTAACCATTACTACCATTTGGGAGTAAATTAAACTTAATTTTAGTCAGTTTCAGAGTAAATGTCGGTAATTTACTATGAAACTGACTAAAATTAAGTTTTCTTGATACATACTGAACCAGACACAAAGCAAATTTAAGTTAAAAACAGGATAATAGATGAAAAGATGTCTTTTAAAATTAATTTAAATGTCATTATATCTTAGTATATCAATTCAAGTGAAATAATAATCTTTAAAAAGGGAGATTTTATTTTCAAATAAAAATATAACTCTGACCATATGTTTTATTTAAATTTTCAGGACTATAAACACATATGCATACTCAAGAGTCATCAAAATCCTTATTGTTTTACTTATGGTAATTTCTATTACATACCATGTATCTTTATAAAACAAATATAGAAAATAAACTTACATACAAAAATTATAAAATAAGTTTAATACAATTTACTTATAAGTATTTACAAGATACTTATTTTATAAGCTAAGAAAATTAGCATTAATATCAGCCCTGAATCACATTCAGTAATTTAAGAAAAAACAATCAATGAGTTCTCCTTTCTCACCTGGCCTGTCCAGTTGATAAGTTCCATTCCTCTCGCTGACCAGTACTTCGTGATTTTGATTTGTCTTTGCAAACAGAATCAGGTTGTTTCAAAGTGCGTTTGGCTGGAGGAGATACGTGGCTATCACTTAAACTACCATCAACTTCAACTTTCTGAAAGACAATGTTAAAAATGTATTTATTATTCCTATTAAGATAAATAGAATTGTTAATACTAGGGGCCAGGCAGTGGCTCACTCCTGTAATCCCAGCACTTTGGGTGGCCGAGGTGGGCGATCACTTGAGGTCAGGAGTTCAAGACCAGACTGGCCAACATGGTGAAACCCCGCCTCTACCAAAAAAAAAAAAAAAAAATTAGCTGGGTGTGGTGGCAGGCACCTGTAATTCCAGCTACTTGCTTGGGAGGCTGAAGCAAGAGAATCGCTTGAACCCAGGAGGCGGAGGCTGCCGTGAGCCGAGATCATGCCAGTGCACTCCAGCCTGGATGACAGAGCAAGACTTTGTCTCAAAAAAAAAAAAAGAATTATTAATATTCTTGGATAATCAAGCATTTCGTCAACCAATAAATTTTACTGAATTATACTACAAATATAGCAAAATGTATAATCTGTAAATATAAAAACAAGAAAGATTACATTTATAATCAGAAAAATATGTTGTTTCTTGTTTTTATTTTGAAAAATGTTCAAGAAAGGGCGTGTGTTCTTAAACGTTTGGTGTGATATATATCTTTTTTGTATGACACAATCCCTCAGACCCTCCTAAATACTCCAGTATGTACCTCCCAAAACAAGGGCACTTTGCTACATTACCACCATACAACCCCCCAATCAGGAAATGAACATTGGTATAATACAGAGTCAAACCACAGACATATTCAAATTTCACCAAATGTCCCAACAATGCCTCTCTTTCAGGTGCAGGATCCTAAACAGAAACACATATTGCATTTAGTTAATGGACCTCCTCAGTCTCCCTCAATCAGTCTTTCCTTCTTTCCCTATCTTTCATGTCTTTGACGGTCAAGAGTACAGGCGAGCCAGGTGCAGTGGCTCATGCATGTAATCCCAACACTTTGGGAGGCCAAGGCGGGGCAGATCACCTGAGGTCAGGAGTTCCAGACAAGCCTGGTGAACCCATTTCCACTAAAAATATTTTTTTAAAAAGCCAGGTGTGGTGGTACATGCCTATAATCCCAGCTACTCGGGAGGCTGAAGCACAAGAATCACTCAAACCCAGGAGGTGGAGGTTGCAGTGAGCAACCACTGCACTCCAGACTGGGTGACAGAGCGAGACTCCGTCTCAAAAAAAATTAAAAAGTACAGGCCTTTCATTCTCTAGGATGACCCTCAATCTGGGCCCAGCTGATGTTCCTAATAATCAGATTCAGGCCACATATTCTTAAAAAGAATATACAGAAATGATGCTGTGCATACTATACCTATCCTTCCCATCCCTAGGGATGTTAACCCTCATCACTTGGTCAACCTGGTGTCTGCCAGGTTTCTTCACTGTAAAGTAACTATGTTTTCCTTTGTATTTGATGTATACATTATGGGGGATTATTTTGATAATTCACCAATATCCTGTTCCTCATCAAATCTCTACCAACCAGCCTTAGTATTCATTGACTACTCTTGCCATTATCAAATACCACAAAGATAGTGATTATCTAATTCCATCATTCCTTCTACATTTGTAGTTGGCATTTTAACAGAGAGCTTAACCTGTCCCCCCAAATTCATTTATTCATTTATATTTTTATCAGTATCATGGATTCTTATTTTATTCTACAAATTATAATTTCCTACTCTATTTATTTTGTTGCTCAAATTATGTGAGATTTAGCTAATGTGAGCCCCTTCAAAGCAATTCCTGTGTCTTTTGACACATCCTCATCATTCTGAGTACTTCCTTACTTTCTGGCACAACTGAATTCTGTAGGCTTATTTTATACTTTCCCTCTCTGGCCCTAGATTAGCATTTCTCCAAGGGGCCTTGGTTCCTCTTAGTCAATGATAGTATTTAGAAACCAAAAGCTGGGCACTACGTGTGCTCACTGTTACTGAGGCGTCACTGCAATTAAGTGCTCTCAGCAGAGAGAGCTAAGGAATATATAAACATATAAACATACACATACATATATACCTAAATCTCTTTTCTTTTTTGAGACAGAGTCTCAATCTATGTGATCATGGCTCACTGCAGCCTCTGCCTCCTGGACTCAAGCAATCCTCTAGCTTCAGCCTCCCAAGTAGCTGGGACTACAGGCACCTGCCATCATGCCCAGCTAATTTTTTGTTGTTGTTAAGATGGGACCTCACTATATTGCCTAGACTGGTTTCAAACTCCTGGCCTCAAGCAATGCGCCCACCTCAGCCTCTCAAAGTGCTAGGATTATAGGTGGGAGGCACCACACCTCGCCCAGCAACTTTTAAAGGTCTGAACAAAAAATATTTGCCACCTATTGTCTCTAAGGGAGGCCACTGCATCTATGCAATAAGAATCTTGGTCTCCACAACCCTTTATCTTAACCCAGACACTCCTTTATACTGACTCCAGGTTTTTAGAAAATAACTCTTCCAACAAATTGCCAATTAGAAAATCTTTGAATCCACCTATCAGTTGTAAGCCCTCCATCTTTCCCGTCTTTCCAGACTGAACTGATGTAGACCTCACACGTACTGATTGATGTCATATGTCTTCCTAAAATGTATACAATGAAGCTATAACTCAACCACCTTGGGCACATGTTCTCAGGACCTCTTGAGACTGTGTCTTGGTCCATGGCTGCTCATATTTGGCTCAGAATAAATCTCTTTAAATATTTTACAGAGTTTGACTCTTTTTGTCAAGAAGTATCTATAATCCTTTTCAATATGCTACCATATAGAAATATCTGTGACCAGGCACAGTGGCTCACACATGAAATCCCAAAACTTTGAGAGGTCAAGGCAGGACGACTGCTTGAGGCCAGGAGTGCCAGACTAGCCTGGGCAACGTAATGAGACCTTATCTCTACAAAAAACTTAAAAATAAAAATTAGTTAAGTCAGGGGCAGTGGCTCATGCCTGTAATCCCAGCACTTTGCAAGGCCGAGGCGGGTGGATCACCTGAGGTCAGGAGTTCGAGACCAGCCTGACCAACATGGTGAAACCCCATCTCTACTAAAAATACAAAATTAGCCAGGCATGGTGGCCCATGCTTGTAATCCCAGCTACTTGGGAGGCTGAGGCAGGAGAATTGCTTGAATCCGGGAGGCGGAGGTTGCAGTGAGCTGAGATCATGCCATTGCACTCCAGCCTGGGCAACAAGAGGGAAACTGTCGCAAAAGAATAATAATAATTAGTTGGGCATAGTGGTATGCACCAGTGGTCCCAGCTACTCAGCGAGGGTGAGGTGGGAGGATCGCTTGAGCACAGGAGGTCAAGCCTGCAGTGAGCTGTGATCACGCCAAGCCTGGGCGAAAGAGCAAGACCCCATCTCAAAAAAAAAAAAAAAAAAGCCACAAGGCCACACTGGTACTAAAAGGCACAAAAGAAAAAATAATTGAAATTCAAATATGAGCATGTATATAATTAAGATGGTGTATTAGTTTTATAATACACCATCACTTATTAGGTTAAGTTCCCAAGAAAAGCCAGCTAGCTACTTCCAAACTATATTCAGCACAGGGTGGAAAATCATTTAAGATATACTTCAATCTTATAACAATCCTTTGTCAGTCACCATACTATACTCAAATGAGTGTTTTTAAATTTAGTCCTTTCATTTTTTTCTTTTTTTTCTCTGAGATGGAGTCTCGCTCTCTCACCCAAGCTGGAGTGCAGTGGCATGATCTCAGCTCACTGCAAGCTCCGCCTCCTGGGTTCAAGCGATTATCCTGCTTCAGCCTCCTGAGTAGCTGAGACTACAGGCACATGCCACCACGCCCAGCTAATTTTTGTATTTTTACTAGAGACCGGGTTTCACCATATTGGCCAGGCTGGTCTTGAACTCCCAAACTTGTGATCCGCCTGCCTCAGCCTCCCAAAGCACTGGGATTACAAGTGTGAGCCACCGCGCCCAGTAGTCCTTTCATTTCTAATACAGTTTTCTTACTTTTTTTTTTTTTTTTTTTTTTTGAGACAGAGTCTAGCTCTGTCGCCCAGGCTGGGGTACAGTGGTCTCGGCTCACTGCAACTTCCACCTCCCAGTTCAAGCAATTCTCCTGCCTCAGCCTCCCAAGTAGCTGGGATTACAGGTGCATGCCACCACGCCCAGCTAATTTTTGTATTTTTAGTAGAGACAGCGTTTCACTGTGTTGGCCAGGCTGGTCTCAAACTCCTGACCTCGTGATCTGCCAGCCTCGGCCTCCGAAAGTGCTGGGATTAGAAGCATGAGCCACCACGCCTGGCCTCTTACTTTTTATTTTATATTTTTATTATTTTATTTTATTTGAGACAGAGTCTCATTGCCAGGCTGTTCTCAAACTCCTGACCTAAAGAGATCCTCCCACCTCGGCCCCACAAAGCGCCGGGATTACAAGCATGAGCCACCACGCCCAGCTTTAGTTTTCTTTATACTAGCTCATCCACTCCAACCTGGTATATTTACAGACTCCCAAGGTTAAAGTGTGCATTAAAGGTCATCTAACTGAATTACTAATCCAAGACATTCTTTACTCCAATTCTGGTCTGTGAACCAACAACATGGGCATGATCTATTTGGAAGCTCATTAGAAATGTAGAATCTCAGGCTCCACCCTCAGATCCACTGAATCAGAAACCATTTTTAAAAGATCCCCAGGTGATTCATGTGCACATTAGAGTTTGAAAAGCATTATTATATAACATATTCAAGACGTAGTCACTGGACCGCCTGACTGCCACCATCATGAGTCGCATGTGCACTCCTGGGAAGGGCCTGTCTCAATCGGCTCTGCCCTGTCACTGCAAGGTTCCCACTTGGCTGAAGCTGACATCTGATGACATGAAGGAGCAGACTTACAAACTGACCAAGAAGGGTCTGCCTCCCTCACAAATCAGTGTGATCCTGAGGCTCATATGGTGTTGCACAAGTATATTTTTGTGACAGGCAATACAATCTTAAGAATCCTTAAGTCCAAAAGACTTGCGCCTGATCTCCCTGAGGATCTCTACTGTTTAATTAAGCAAGCAGTTGCTATTCGAAAGCATGCTGAGAGGAACAGAAAGGATAAGGATGCCAAATTCCATCTGATTCTGATAGATGAATTCACCGACTGGCTCAATATTATTAATACAAGACCAAGCAAATCCTCCCACCCAACTGGAAACATGAGTCATCCACAGCCTCTGCCCTGGTTGCATAAGTTTGTCTACGTACTCAAGTAATAAAATGATTGTTTATCGAAAAAAAAGGAGTCACTGAGGAAGCAACATCATGTATTTTAAGCTAGAGTGTATCTGTGATACAGAAACTAGTACCTATAAACTACTGTACCAATTTAGATAGCCCAGGCCAGCATTACTCCTTCCAATCAAATTTGATCATTCATCTTCAAGACCTATCTCAGGACCCTTTTTTTTTTTTTCTTCATGAAATCTCCCTGAAGAATCTAGCCTAAATTAAGCTTATCCCTGCTACTAGTTGCAGCCCTACTATACATTTGGGCACTTGATTATTTCAACTTAGCATTATATATTTATCATCTTTAAAGTGTCATGTCCAAGTCTTGAAATTCTAGCAAGATTTTAAGCTCCTGAATTACAAAAACGTACCCTATTTTTTAAAATTCCATGATAACAAGGAAAAACAACAAACAAAATTTCTGGAAATTTGTTCACAAATTATTAATATAAATTATTAGGGGCAAGAAAGGAGGGCTCATGGTGAATTAAGTTTGGGAAACGATGAGGTCCAAGGCTTTTTGCTGCAAAACTTCTAAGAGTATTATGATAACATGCAAAATAAATCTCTAAGGATGAAATAAAGTATGTAACATTTCACAAACTTATTTGATCAAGCTCTCTTTTTTCATGGAATATCTGCAGGTACTAGTTTCCCAAACATACTCTGGAAATAAGTACTATGTACCATTGAACTGAAGACAAAAAAAAAAGTAGTAAAATATTTGAATTTTTAAAATAATCCAAGTATATAGTTACTTGAATATCAATTTAAGTGAGTTTTGCACATTTATTTATTGGCCATTTGCATATTCTACTGGCTTTCAATTCCATTCAGAAGTATTTCTCAAACTGTTGTTTACATACTACCTGAATCAAAAATCACCTGCATTACTCATTAAAAATTACAACCTGCTGGACTGGAATCTCTGGAGGTGAAACGTTTTTAACAAGGGCTTCCAAATGATTCTTAGTACACAAAAGTCTGAGGACCTCTGGCATATAACATACTTCAAGTATAATACAAAGCACATCATCCTAACTGCTACAATGTACTGGTATATTTACTTTTTTTGTCACGGGAGGGTTTCAATCTTGATTTGGCTCTATGACAGAGACCTCAGAATAAAGAGGATTACCAAAGACTCCTTCCCTCCAAAGAAATCTAGGGATTTAAGTAAAGTAAGCAACCACGATGTAAACAGGTACAAAATAATTACTTCAGCACCATTTAATTAACTTCAAGCTTTGGGAAAGCTTCTACCTACAAACCTGATGCTAACAATTCACCCTTAATAGGATGATCATAACCCTCAACCTTAACTTTTTCATCTTCCCTCAAAGCATTTTACTAGCTAATGATAACCTAACCCTTTGAGAGAAGGCGTTACCAGTTTCATGACAAAGATATTTAAAAGATTATGCAATCTACCCACAGCCATTTAGCAATCTGTGTCACAGTGATTATAATCCATGAGTAGGAAAAGTACCTCAGGCATAAGGGAAATAATTTCAGTTAACTAACATTTACTGATGACCTACTATGTACATAAGACGTGGAAGGCAGTGGTAAAAAAGATGGATAAGAACTACTTGAGGCCAAGCACAGTGGCTCACACCTGTAATCCCAACATTTTGGGAGACCCAGGCGGTAGGATCCTTGTGGCCAGGAGTTTGAAACCAGTCTGAGTAACACAGCAAGACCTGTCTCTTTAAATAAATAAATAAATAAATAACCTATTTGATGTAGACTTTAAAGGATGTTTTTGGCCGGGCATGGTGGCTCATGCCTGTAATCTCAACACTGAGAGGTTGAGGTGGGCAGATTGTTTGAGCTCAGGAGTTCGAGCCCAGCCTGGGCAAAATGGCAAGACCGTGTCTCTACAAAAATATAGAAAAATTAGCCAGGTGTGCTGGTCCATGCCTGCAGTCCCAGCTACTTGGGAGGCTGAAGTGGGAGAATCACCTGAGCCCCAGCAGTTGAGGTTGCAGTGAGCCATAATCACGTCACTGCACTCCAGTCTGGGCAACAGAGCAAGACTGTGTCTCAAAAATAAATAAATAAATAAATAAATAAATAAATGTTGTTTTCAAGTCTTCTATAGAAGTGGGAATATGTATTCTAACAACTTAATAATGGGGCACATAAAATACCAGAACACAATCCAAGGATGAGATAACTTCCAAGAGAAGTATAATAATAATAATGTAAAATCCTACAGAAATTAAATAATGAAAAGATATAGTCATCCCCACTTAAGCAACTTTTTTAATTCTAACCTCTTTGAATAGATAACTTTTTTCAATTTGTAAAAACCATTCTCTCCTTGACTTTTACAGTCCCTTAAACCATACTCATCAGCTACCATAAATAGTGACTATTATTCTGTCATAAATCTTAAAAAGTGAGGCAAAAGAACTTGAGAATAACTAGAAATGAATAGATGCTGCTCTGGTTTTCAAGGAAGGCTTCATGCCCAGATCTAAATTTGTCAGAAATCTAAAAGCTGGATTTTAATCTAAAAACAAAAAGAATGAAGCCAAGTATAGCATTTAAAAATGAGAGATGCATGGAACTAAGTTAATTAGCAGACCACTAGATTAAATCAAAACTTGATGACGGCCTCATTTAGAATTGGGAAAATCAGAAAGAAGAAATTTAGTCCAGAAAACAAAATAACTAGATTAGCGATATCAGTGCTGTATTCAAAATAAATACAGTAAGGGCAGGTATAAAAAGTGCCGGTTGTTGTTGGTGGTGGTGGTGGTGGTGGTAGTGGTGATGGTGGTGTGGGGAGCCAGGGAACAGGTGATGACGGGAGAAGTATAATGCTGAATTAAAATTGGAAAGTTAGTTTGGAATTATAGCCAGAAATCTAAGGAGAGGTCTATCAGGCTATGGGAAACACACCTCTGAGTTGAAGTGAGTTAAGGAGCAGAGACAGATATGAAACATGGTCATAAAAGAAAATGATCATAGGTAACGTACAGAGTATAAAAACAGAAGGGCAGAAGTCAAAACCTTAAAAAAATGCCTAATTAATGGGGATAAGCACAAGAGATGTCATAAAAATCAGAGACAAATATAGTCTCTCACTAAAACAAGAGGAGTTAAACTGCTCCAAAAAGACTTTAACAGAAGAAAGCTGATAAACCTGAGGATTTGTAAGTAAGAGATCATTGTAACTTCTGACAGGGCAATGTCTGTGAAATGCGGGGTGGAAAACACTAGGTGAATAATGGAGCAAGTGGTGAGCAAGTACAGGTGATGACTACAGAGCTAGTCTTACAAAAGTGTCAGAATTAAAAAAGAAAGAATAGTTTAGACTTGGAGGAAAGGATTTTCCTTCCTTTTTTTTTTTTTTTTTCTTTAAGAAAAGACAACCTGGCTTCTTATAGAAAAAAGGGAACTGTAAGAGAGAATAAAACAAATTATTTAAAGAGTAAGTAAATGATGAGAGAAAACACCTCAAAGAGACAAAGAAAAAACAGAATAGGAACATTTTCCCCCAAGTTAGATCAGAAAATGTATGGGTACAAATCAATCTCTTCCGATTTCCTTATAGGACAGGCTTTTTGTATACTTTTTTTCTTTAACAAGTATTCCTGTTTTCACAAGAAAGCTTAGAAGTGCAGTCAATTTCTTTTTCTTTCATTTATAAAAGGAATGCACAGAGGCAGTGGTTACCATGACTGCAAAAAACAAAACTCTGCACTGCTATTTATTTATTTAGGGCCAACACTATTCTACAAAGTCCTGAAATGGCAAGCATATAAAATGTTCTAAATTTTTCTCAAATATTCCAAGAACAAGGGCTTACTAGTTTAGTATTTCTAAGCAATCATCATGAAAGAATACAGAAAGAGAAAAAAATACATAGAAGCGACCTGTTAGTTTAGGAGATACAGAAAGATTAAAAAAGTCTATAATAATTTAAAATGCATTTTCTTCCACATAAAAATTTCTAAAAGGTAGTTTCTAAAAATCTGAAAATATTACATTATTTAAAATAAGAAAGAGACAATGTAGGTACTGAAAAATGCCACATGGTCAGGCATGATAGCTCATATCTATAATCCCAACACTTTGGGAGGCTGAGGTAAAAGGATCACTTAAGCCCATGAGTTCAAGAACAGCCTGGCCAACAAAGGAGACTCTGAGACTTGTCTCTACAAAAAGTTTAAAAATTAGCCGTGAGTAGTGGCACATGCCTGTGGTCCCAGCAACTCAGGAAGCTGAGGTAGGTGGATCGCTTGAGCCAGGGAGGTCCAGGCTGCAGTGAGCCATGATTACACCACTGCACTCCAGCTTGGGTGACACAGTGAGACCCTGTTTCAAAAAAAGAAAAGAAAAGAAAAATGCCACAGACTCTGAAGTTGTACAGACAGGACCAATCTTACATTACAGCACTACCACTATAACTCAGAAACTACTATTTACCTCATGAGATTGTTAGAAGAATCAAGGAGGTACTGTAAGTAACAAATTTTATACCTACTGCCTCACAGTAGATACAATCTCAAGTAAGAATACTTGTTTGGCTTTATAGAATTAATGTAACTTCATAAGCTTATTAATTACTTTCAATAATTCATTCCTTCCACAAACAAAATTTATTAAGTGCCTGTTTTTGTGTTAGATACTAAAGATACTTAGCACTAAGGTAGTCCCTGCCTTTCATGGAAGTTAAAATTTAACTCCTTAAATTAGCTGGTAAAGGTATATGAAAATAGTGCTGATAGTATTGGGGAATGGGGTACAAATTGGTGTAGTCTCAGTGTAAAGCAATTTGAGAAAACCTATGAAAATTTAAAATACACATTATCGTTAGACCCAGTAATTCCACTTTATCTAAAAGAGAAAGGTCGGCTGGGTGCGGTGGCTCACACCTGTAATCCCGATACTTTGGGAAGCAGAGGCGGGCAGATCAGTTGAGGTCAGGAGTTCAAGACTAGCCTCGCCAACATGGTGAAACCCTGTCTCTACTAAAAATACAAAAAAAAATTGGCCGGGTTTGGTGGTGGGCGCCTGTAATCCCAGCTACTCAGGAGACTGAGACAGGAGAATCACTTGAACCTGGAAGGCGGAGGCTGCAGTGAGCCGAGGTGGCACCACTGCACTCCAGCCTGGGCAAGAGAGGAAGACTCCGTCTCAAAAAAAAAAGAAAGGTCATTTTCTGCTACACTATTTATAAAGTTAAAAGTATGGAGAAAACCTGCATGCCAACCGGTTAAATATGTGGCAGTATAATGATACAAAGAAATATTAGAACTATTAGAAAGGCTCCTGGTCGATTTGGGGTGGAGAGTTCTGTAGATGTCTATTAGGTCCGCTTGGTGCAGAGCTGAGTTCAATTCCCGGGTATCCTTGTTGACTTTCTGTCTCGTTGATCTGTCTAATATTGACTGTGGGGTGTTAAACTCATTTTATGAGGCCAGCATCATCCTGATACCAAAGCCAGGCAGAGACACAACCAAAAACGAGAATTTTAGACCAATATCCTTGATGAACATTGATGCAAAAATCCTCAATAAAATACTGGCAAACTGAATCCAGCAGCACATCAAAAAGCTTATCCACCATGATCAAGTGGGCTTCATCCCTGGGATGCAAGGCTGGTTCAATACACGCAAATCAATAAATGTAATCCAGCATATAAACAGAACCAAAGACAAAAACCACATGATTATCTCAATAGATGCAGAAAAGGCCTTTGACAAAATTCAACAACCCTTCATGCTAAAAACTCTCAATAAATTAGGTATTGATGGGACGTATTTCAAAATAATAAGAGCTATATATGACACACTCACAGCCAATATCATACCGAATGGGCAAAAACTGGAAGCATTCCCTTTGAAAACTGGCACAACACAGGGATGCCCTCTCTCACCACTCCTATTCAACATAGTGTTGGAAGTTCTGGCCAGGGCAATCAGGCAGGAGAAGGAAATAAAGGGTATTCAATTAGGAAAAGAGGAAGTCAAATTGTCCCTGTTTGCAGACGACATGATTGTATATCTAGAAAATCCCACTGTCTCAGCCCAAAATCTCCTTAAGCTGATAAGCAACTTCAGCAAAGTCTCAGGATACAAAATCAATGTGCAAAAATCACAAGCATTCTTATACACCAACAACAGACAAACAGAGAGCCAAATCATGAGTGAACTCCCATTCACAATTGCTTCAAAGAGAATAAAATACCTAGGAATCCAACTTACGAGGGATGTGAAGGACCTCTTCAAGGAGAACTACAAACCACTGCTCAAGGAAATAAAAGAGGATACAAACAAATGGAAGAACATTCCATGCTCATGGGTAGGAAGAATCAATATCATGAAAATGGCCATACTGCTCAAGGTAATTTACAGATTCAATGCCATCCCTATCAAGCTACCAATGACTTTCTTCACAGAATTGGAAAAAACTACTTTAAAGTTTTTAAACTTTAAACTTGGTTCATATGGAACCAAAAAAGAGCCCCCATTGCCAAGTCAATCCTAAGCCAAAAGAACAAAGCTGGAGGCATCACACTACGTGACTTCAAACTGTATTACAAGGCTACAGTAACCAAAACAGCATGGTACTGGTACCAAAACAGAGATATAGAACAATGGAACACAACAGAGCCCTCAGAAATAACGCCGCATATCTACAATTATCTGATCTTTGACAAACCTGACAAAAACAAGAAATGGGGAAAGGATTCCCTATTTAATAAATGGTGCTGGGAAAACTGGCTAGCCATATGTAGAAAGCTGAAACTGGATCCCTTCCTTACACCTTATACAAAAATCAATTCAAGATGGATTAAAGACTTAAGCGTTAGACCTAAAACCATAAAAACCCTAGAAGAAAGCCTAGGCATTACCATTCAGGACATAGGCAATGGGCAAGGACTTCGTGTCTAAAACACCAAAAGCAATGGCAACAAAAGACAAAATTGACAAATGGGATCTAATTAAACTAAAGAGCTTCTGCACAGCAAAAGAAACGACCATCAGAGTGAACAGGCAACCTACAAAATGGGAGAAAATTTTCGCAACCTACTCATCTGACAAAGGGCTAATATCCAGAATCTACAATGAACTCAAACAAATTTACAAGAAAAAAACAACCCCATCAACAAGTGGGTGAAGGATATGAACAGACACTTCTCAAAAGAAGACATTTATGCAGCCAAAAAACACGTGAAAAAATGCTCACCATCACTGGCCATCAGAGAAATGCAAATCAAAACCACAGTGAGATACCATCTCACACCAGTTAGAATGGCAATCATTAAAAAGTCAGAAAACAACAGGTGCTGGAGAGGATGTGGAGAAATAGGAACACTTTTACACTGTTGGTGGGACTGTAAACTAGTTCAACCCTTGTGGAAGTCAGTGTGGCGATTCCTCAGGGATCTAGAACTAGAAATACCATTTGACTCAGCCATCCCATTACTGGGTATATACCCAAAGGACTATAAATCATGCTGCTATAAAGACACATGCACGCGTATGTTTATTGTGGCATTATTCACAATAGCAAAGACTTGGAACCAACCCAAATGTCCAACAATGATAGACTGCATTAAGAAAATGTGGCACATATACACCATGGAATACTATGCAGCCATAAAAAATGATGAGTTCATGTCCTTTGTAGGGATATGGATGAAACTGGAAATCATCATTCCCAGTAAACTATCGCAAGAAAAAAAAAAACAAACACCGCATATTCTCACTCATAGGTGGGAATTGAACAATGATAACACATGGACACAGGAAGGGGAACATCACACTCTGGAGACTGTTGTGGGGTGGGGGGAGGGATAGCATTGGGAGATATACCTAATGCTAGATGACGAGTTAGTGGGTGCAGCGCACCAGCATGGCACATGTATACATATGTAACTAACCTGCACATTGTGCACATGTACCCTAAAACTTAAAGTATAATAATAATAAAAAAAAAAAAAGAAAGGCTCCTGGTCAACAGTGTGAGGGAAAAAAAAGAAATATTAGCCATCAAGAAAAATGAAATAAGCCAGATGTGGTGGCTCACACCTGTAATCCCAGCATTTTGGGAGACCCAAAGCATGGTGGCACATGCCTGTAGTCCCAGCTACTCAGGAGGCTGAGGTGGGAGATCACTTGAGTCTAGGAGGTCAAGGCTGCAGTGAGCCATGACTGCACCACTGCACTCCAGCCTGGGTGACAAAGTGAGACATTGCCTCCAAATATATATATATATACATACATACATACATATATATATATACACACACACACACATACATATATATATACATACATACATACATATATATTATACATACACACACATTGCACATGTACCTATGGGTATAACCTATGAGTTGTTTATATGTGCATATGTGTGTGACACACATATAAACCCATAGTACATGTGCCATGGTCAGAAGGATGTACAGCAGCTTTAACAGTGGTTATCCCTCGGAAGAACAAACTGGAGAAATTAGGGGAGCAGGGAAAAAGGCCCTTTTTTTCTGTGTACGTACATATTATTTGAAATATTTATTTCATCATAATGTGTAGAAAATAAAACAAAACAAAGTAATACTTATTTCATACTTTTTAAGTAAGAATAAAATATTTTTCCAAAGAGCTGAGGTTGAGTATTGCATAAGTTTGGGTTGTTTTTTTTTGTTTGTTTTTGTTTTTTTTGGTTTTTAAGAGATGAGATATTATTGCCAGGCTGGAGTGCAGTGGTATGATCATAACTCACTACAGCCTCAAACTCCTAGGCTCAAGCGATCCTCTCACCTTAGCTTCCCAAGTAGCTGAGACTACAGGCACACACGACCATACCAGGCTAATTTTTTGTTTTTTTAATAGCGGTGAGGTCTCACTTTGTTTCCCAGACTGGTATCAAACTCCTGGCCTCAAGTGATCCTCCAACCTTGGCCTCCCAAAATGCTGGGAATACAGGTGTGAGCCACTGTGTCCACTCTTGCATACTCTTTTTTTTTTTTTTTTTTTTTTAGACAAGAGTTTTGCTCTTGTTGCCCAGGCTGGAGTGCAATGGCGCGATCTCAGCTCACTGCAACCTCCACCTCCCGGGTTCAAGTGGTTCTCCAGCCTCAACCTCCTGAGTAGCTGGGATTACAAGCATGCACCACGATGCTCAGCTAATTTTGTATTTTTAGTACAGACGGGGTTTCTCCATGTTGGTCAGGCTGGTCTCGAACTCCTGACCTCAGGTGATCCACCTGCCTAGGCCTCCCAAAGTGCTGAGATTACAGGCGTGAGCCACTGCGCCCGGCCTGCATACTCTTTTATCTTCATTGTCTGGTCACTCAATTGCAGCAATTAAAGAAAGGCACTTTCATTCCCAGTTGAACTGCTACGAATTTTTTTAAAAGAGATGGTGTCAGCTGGGTGCAGTGGCTCGCACCTGTAATCCCAGCAGTTTGGGAGGCCGAGGCAGGTGGATCACCTGAGGTCAGAAGTTTGAGACCAGCCTGACCAATATGATGAAAGTCCTTCTCTGCTAAAAATACAAAAATTAGCTGGGCGTGGGGGAGCACGCCTGTAGTTCCAGCTACTTGGGAGGCTGAGGTACAATAATCGCTTGAACCTAGGAGGCGGAGGTTGCAGTGAGCCGGGGTCGCACCACTGCACTCCAGCCTGGGCAACAGAGCAAGACTCTGTCTCAAAAAAATATATAGGGTAAGAAGAGAGGAAGAACAGTGGAGGAGCACGTTAAAGAGTCTGTAGTTAAAGGTAACATAGGCCGGGTGCAGCAGCTCACACCTGTAATCCCAGCACTTTGGGAGGCCAAGGTGGGCAGATCACCTGAAGTCGGGAGTTCGAGACCAGCCTGACCAACATGGAGAAACCCCATCTCTACTAAAAATACTAGCTGGTCGTAGTGGCGCATGCCTGTAATGCCAGCTACTCGGGAGGCTGAGGCAGGAGAACTGCTTGAACCCAGGGGGCAGAGGTTGCAGTGAGCCGAGATTGCACCATTGCACTCCAGCCTGGGCAAAAAGAGCGAAACTCCGTCTGGAAAAAAAAAAAAAGAGGTAACGTTCTTTAAAGAAAAAATGAGAGTTAATTGGCTAGGCACAGTGGCTTACACCTGTAATCCCAGCACTTTGGGAGGCCAAGGTAGGCAGATCGCTTGAGCCCAGGAGTTTGAAACCAGCTTGGCATCTGGGTGAAACCCCATCTCTACAAAAAATACAAAAAATTAGCCAGGCGTAGTGGCACATGCTTGTAGTCCCAGCTACTTGGGAGGCTGAGGTGGGAGGATCACCTGAGCCCAGAAGGTCAAGGCTGCAGTGAGCCTTGATCGTGCCTCTTCACTCCAGCCTGGATGACAGGGTGAGATCTTATCCCAAAAAGAAACGAGAAGAAGAAGAGGAGAAAGAAGAGAACAGAGGAAGGGGACGGGGAGGGGGAGGGGGCGAAGCGAAGCTAATAAATACAAGTCTTAAGAACAATCACACATGCACACACAAAGCAAAACGTATAACTTAAAACCAGCAGTGACTCATGCTTATAATCCCAGCACTTTGCGAGGCCAAGGCAGGTGGATCACCTGAAGTCAGGAGTTCGAGAGCAGCCTGGCCAACATGGTGAAACCTTGTCTCTACTAAAAATACAAAAATTAGCCAGGTGTGGTGGTGCATGCCTGTAACCCCAGCTACTCAGGAGGCTGGGGCAGGAGAATTGCTCGAACCTGGGAGGCTGCGGTTGCAGTGAGCCAAGATCACGCCATTGCATACTCCAGCCTGGGTGACAGAACAAGATTCCATCTCAAAAAAAAAAAAAAAAAAGTAGAAGATGCACAAATTTGACTTAGTGAATATCTATAATCCTACACCCCTAACTGCAGAATACATATTCTTTTCCAGCATTCATGAAACATTTACCAAAATAACCATAAACAAAATAAGTCAGAACAAATTTCAAAAGACTGAAATCATATGCAGTTATGTTCTCTGAACACAATGGAATTAAGCTAGAAGTAATTAACAAAACTATAAACGGAAAGTAGGCCGGGTACAGTGACTCATACCTGTGATCCAAGCACTTAGGAAGGCCAAGGTGGGAGGATCGCTTGAGTCTAGGAATTTGAGGCCAGCCTGGGCAACAAAGGGAGATAACAAGACCCTTTCTAACAAAAAAAAATTTTCTAATTACCCAGGCCTGGTGGCACACACCTGTAGTCCTAGCTACTTGGGAGGCTGAGACAGAAGGATCACTTGAGTCCAGGAGTTCAAGGCTACAGTGGGCTACGATCATGCCACTGTACTCCAGCTTGAGTGAGAGAGTGAGACCCCATCTCAAAAAAAAACGAAAGGAAAAGAAATGCCCAACTGTTTGGAAAGTAAGCAACATACTTCTAGATAACCAATGGATGAAAGAAGAAAGCAAAAAGGAAATTAAAATCTATTCTAAAATAAAATTTACTTTAAAAAAAAACACCAGAATTTGAAAAATAACAAAAATAATTTCAACAACAAAAATTAGGTAGAATCTTAATATGGGGCCGGGCACAATGGCTCACATCTGTAATCCCAGCACTTTGGGAGGCCGAAGTAGGCAGATCACCTGAGGTTAAGAGTTCGAGACTAGCCTGGCCAACACAGTGAAACCCCCATCCCTACTAAAAATACAAAAATTAGCCAGGCATGCATGCTGGCCCATGCCTGTAATTTCAGCTACTCGGGAGGCCGAGACAGGAGAATCACTGGAAACCAGGAGACACAGGTTGCAGTGAGCCGAGATGGAGCCACTGCACTCTAGCCTGGGTGACAGGGCAAGAATCTGTCTCAAAAATAAATAAACAAATAAATAAAAAGACTCTTAATATGGAACAAGAGATTTTTGAGTATCTGACCAATCAATAAGTTCACATTATAACCCATCTCTTAATGTTTTCCATCATACATTTTTATTTTTCTACATCTAACAGAAAATATACATTTTTCCCCAGCACACAATAAACATTTACCAAAACTGACAATATATTAGGCCACAAAGAAAGCATCCAATCCTACAAAAGAAATATACAAACTATGTTAAGTGAGAGATGTTCCATGCTGTTAGACAGGCTAACAATTTGAAGGTGTCAATTCTCTACAGATTAAAATCTATGAATTCAATATATTACTAATCAAAATTCTAGTGGGGGCCAGGCGCAGTGGCTCACTCACGCCTGTAATCCCAGCACTTTGGGAGGCCAAGGCGGGCAGATCACTTGAGGTCAGGAGTTCGAGACCAGCCTGGCCAATATGGTGAAACCCCATCTCTACTAAAAATACAAAAATTAGCTGGGCGTGGGTGCACATGCCTGTAATCCCAGCTACTTGGGAGGCTGAAGCAGGAGAATTGCTTTAACCTGGGAGGTGGAGGCTGCAGTGAGCCGAGATCATGCCACTGCACTCCAGGCTGGGCAACAGAGCGAGACTCTCTTGAGAAAAAAAAAAAAAAAAATTCTAGTTGGATCTTCTGAGTAACTCTATAATCTCAATTGAAATTAAAATTGAAAAACAACCCCCAAACATCTAAGTCAACCTTGAAAAATAACAAAAAGGAGAAACTTGTCCTTTAAGATATTAAGACATAACTCAAAACCATAGTATGAAAAATAGTATTGGCCTGGTAGAACGGCTCATGCCTGTAATCCCAACACTCTGGGAGGCTGAGGCGAGAGGATTGCTTGAGCCTAGGTGGTCGAGGCTTCAGTGAGCTATGATCACGCCAGGGCACTCAAGCCTGGGTGACAGAGCAGGACCCTGGTCAAAAAAAACCACACCAGTATGGACCAGGCATGGTGGCTTACACCTGTAATCCCAACACTTCACGAGGCCAGGGCAGGAGTTCAAGACCACCTGGGCAACACAGCAATAACCCTGTCTCTACAAAAAATTTTAAAAAACAAAAAAAAAGTATAGTATTGCCATAAGCATAAACAGACCAACAGAAAAGAACAGAGAGATCAGAACAACATACGTGAGAACTTAATGTATTACAAAGTGGCACCACAAAGGACAGGTTGTCTATCAGAATGAACAAAATGAATCAAAAACCTAAATAGTAAAACTATATGTGTGTACAAAGTCACAATGTAAACAGTATCCTTTAGTGTGGGACCAAAAAAAAGTCAAAACTCACGAATCTCTAATTACTCTTGAAAAATAATAATAAAATAGGAACTCCAGTAGAAAATAGCAAAATGGGCAAAAACAAATCTTAACAGGCATTTTAGAGAGAAGGAAAGCAAAAAAAGTTAGTATGGACATAAAGAGTTACCCAAATAGTAACTAAAGAAAGGCTATTAAAAAGGTAGCTCATGCCAAATATTGGCAGGGAAGTGGAGATACAAGAACTCTCGGCCCGGCGCGGTGGCTCACACCTGTAATCCCAGCACTTTGGTAGGCCGAGGCAGGCAGATCATGAGGTCAGGAGATCGAGACCATCCTGGCTAACACAGCGAAACCCCGTCTCTACTAAAAATACCAAAAAAAATTAGCCGGGCGAGGTGGCGGGCACCTGTAGTCCCAGCTACTCGGGAGGCTGAGGCAGGAGAATGGCGTGAACCCCGGGGGGCGGAAACTGCAGTGAGCCAAGATCGCGCCACTGCACTCCAGCCTGGGCAACAGCGAGACTCCGTCTCAAAAAAAAAAAAAAAAGAACTCTCATACACTATACTCCTATGAGTGGAGATTAGAGCAGCACATATAGAAGTAATACTTACTTTAAGTACACATATACTTTTCCACTCTTGGTGTCTATCTCAAAGAAATTCCCACACCAAGTCTACAAGGGACATTGCATCAGGGTATTAACTGCAGCAATATTTGCAGTAGCAGAGAGTAGGAAGCAATTTAGGTACCTATCTCTTGAGGGTGGATAGTTAAAATGCAATTAATTGACCCTACAAAGTACTATGTAGCAGGTGGGAGTAGTGACTGTATGTATACAGAGTTACTACATGGATGAAAATATAATGTTAAGAGAAAATAATAAAATAAGCTCTATAGCTAAATATCACTTATGAAAACTTAAAAGACATATATATAAACCAACACAGTAACCAAGTATTCTATCATCTAAACATGTTAAATAGAGGGTTGAGGGCATTAATAATTATTTTGGGACAAGCATAAACTGTGCATGTGCCAGACAGGTCAGTACTATCCTAGGCTAATGGGGACATACGGTCACCCTACCTATTAACCACTGTTCTCTGTAACCCAGGAAAACAAAGTCTTGATTAAAAAAAAAAAAAAATCCAACTCACTATTTAAAAAAAAAGCGTATTGCTATATTGTCCAGGCTGGACTCAAGCCATCCTTCCCTGCTCAGCCTCTTGAGTAGCTGGGATTACAGGTGTAAACAACCATGTCTGACTACCGATTCTTTTTTTTTTTTTTTTTTTTTTTTTTGAGACAGTCTTGCTCTGTCGCCAGGCTAGAGTACAGTGGCGCGATCTCAGCTCACTGCAGCCTCCTCCTCCTGGGTTCAAGCGATTCCCCTGCCTCAGCCTCCCAAATAGCTGGGATTACAAGCACGTGCCACCAAGCCCAGCTAATTTTTTTGTATTTTAGTAGAGACGGGGTTTCACCATATTGGTCAGGCTACTCTCGAACTCCTGACCTCATGATCCGCCTGCCTCAGCCTCCCAAAGTGCTGGGATTACAGGCATGAGCCACCGCGCCTGGCCTCAATTCATTATTTTGCTTTTAACTATGCTGACTTCAGATCATCAGTGAAATATAAACCACAAAAATATGCTAAAACCCTTACATAACTTATTTGGAGGTTATGATCATTCATCATCATGGATACTTACAAACTAATTACATTAATAAGTAAAATTTTGTAACATAGTTTTATACCTTCTGTTACAATCTCAACCTAAGATCTCTTACAGACAAATTCTTCCAGAAGTACATAATGCCCAAACATAAAGAGTTAAAATCCAAAGAGTCAGTATTCCACACAGTTGTAAAATAGGGAATAGTTTTAGGTTAGGCTAAAAGAGTTCACTATTCTTTCATTATCTTGTCAAGGGTCAAATTTATTCCATAACTGATTCATCTTCACCACTTTTAGAGGAAAAAGTTTCCTAACACTAAAAGTTTTAAATAACAAATCAAAGTTTTAATCCAAGAAGTTTAATTTTCCACATTTCTCTGAAATTACATTCCTACCAAAAACAAAACACAATGGTTGACAATTTTTTTAACCAACTTCTAAATTTAAGTCCAAAAATAATGGCTGACAAGTTTTTAAAGTAATTTCTAAATTCAAGTCCAAAAATATCAGACCACTCCAATCATCCTAATACTCCAAACCCTAATCACAAAACCAGATCTTAGTACAGTCACTAACCAGATAATATGCAAGAAAGTTGTCTGGCACATAAGAATAATTCCCTCTAACCATAGGTTTCTGCCAAATCTCTAAAATAATATCCTATTTCTTCACTTAATTCTAAATTTGCCACAAAAATGTAGTGTTAAAGACCTTAAAGGCCCAAAAGGAGACAAGAACGGGTATAAACTTCAGATATAATGATTAAACAAAATTAACTTTAGGGTGCTTTTGGCCCCTCTCTAAAACCCACACAGGAAGTGAGCCTGGAAACAGCAGCCCCTAGGCAGGCTGCTAAGTCACCTAAACAAATGTAGATGAAAGGGCACTAGACCTGAGGGAAGGGCTATTTTTTTATGGCATGTATTTGTCTCCTCCACTAGACTTTAAGTACATACCATGAAGCAGGGACTGTGTTTTATTCTCCACCTGCTTTCACCCCAAACACAATGCTAGATTCTTGGGATTCAGACAAGCATAATGATACAACTCCAGGAGTGCCATTCACATAGACTACAGCGTGAATGGTGCTTCCTGGACTTCTATGATTTTGCAACTCAAAAAGAACCAAAAATGTTTGCCCACATGGCACTTACATTTTAGTGTAGTAGCTGCTCGATATTTACTGAATGAATGAATGAATGAACGAACAAAGGAACAAGCAAGCCTCACCATCAAAAACTAGGCTCTGGATTACCTCCAAATTTCTGTCTGGCAAGACTAGAGAACATACTTTCTGGGTATTTTAAGCACCACTCCTTTCAGGATTCCAATTTGGGTCCTAGAATACAGATATAAACTAACAATGCTAAAGATGTTTAATTTACTAATGCAAATCTTCACATATAAATATGCTATATAATGTCTTTTCAAGAGGTTTAAAGTATGAAACATTTTTTCAAATGGAAAACTTTACTCCCCCTAGAGATAGTTTCCCACAGCAATAAACGCAAATGTATACACTGTAAATTAATATCACCAAGTAGAGGGAAAGATAGTAGCACAAGTATACCTCTAATAGAGACCACAAGGCCCAGACTCTCAGTCTGCTTACCGGGATTTTTTTTTTTTTCCCAAAGCCAACTTAAAAATACTGAGAAGAGCCAGGTGCAGTGGCTCATACCTGTAATCCCAGCTACTCGGCAGGCTGAGTCAGGAGGACTGCTTGAAGCCAGTAGTTCAAAACCAGCCTGGGCAACATAGTGAGACTCCTGTCTGGAAAAATAAAAATATAGCCAGGCGCGGTGGCTCACGCCTATAATCCCAGCACTTTGGGAGGCCAAGCCGGGGGGATCACCTGAGGTCAGGAGTTCAAGACCAGCCTGACCAACATGGAGAAACCCTGTCTCTACTAAAAATACAAAATTAGCCAGGCATGGTGACGCAAGCCTGTAATCGCAGCTACTCGGGAGGCTGAGGCAGGAGAATCGCTTGAACGCCAGAGGCAGAGGTTATGGTGAGTCATTGAACTCCAGCCTGGGCAACAAGAGCGAAACTCCATCTCAAAAAAAAGAAAAAAAGAAAAGAAAGAGAAAAATATAAGCCAGGAGCAGTAGCTCACTCCTGTAATCCCACACTTTAGGAAGCCAAGGCAGGAAGATTTCTTGAGCCCAGGAGTTTGAGACCAGCTTGGGCAACATAGCAAAACCTTGTCTCTACAAAAAAAAAAAAAAAAAAAAATAGCCAGGTGTGGTAACACATGTCTGTAGTCCCAGTTACTCAGAGGCTGTGATGGGAGAATCCACTGAACTCAGGAGGTCAAGGCTGCAACGAGCTGTGATTGCACTACTGCACTCCAGCCTGAGCAACACAGCAAGATCCTGTCTCAAAAAATACATATATACTACATATATGCCTACTATGTACCCACAAAAAAAATTTAAAAATAAAAAATGAAACAAAAATATAAATATACACATATATAATATTAAGGAAAAATACTGCAAAAACAATCTCTGTACAATATGCCTGCTCCTCTCCCTACACACTGCCTCCTGAAATCAGGCTGCAGAAAATTACTGAAAATTATTGTCCTATATTTCATATCCCTATATGTTACTATTCATACTTTCAGTCCCAATATACTCCTAGACACCACAATTCCAGATAGGCAGGTAAAAGTTGTCTATAAACAGTAGGTATACTTACAGTATACAACAGCTGCCACCTTCACTTTTTCAGATTTTGGTGGAAACTACTGATTGAACAACATCAAAGAGTAATGATAAGTGAGGTAAAGAACTACAGATGAAACAAGATATACAAGTAGAGAAGACAAAACTAGATTTAAATATTACCTTTAGCCTTCCACAGGCCACTTAACCTCTAAGGCAACTCAGTTTCCTCAGCTATAAAATGCGAGTATCATCACTTGCCTTGCAGAGTTGTTACAAGGATTGAATGAGACAGCATTAAACAACACCTGGCACGTATGAGATGCTAAATAAACCTTGGTTTACTCTTCTCCTTATTAGGGCAAAATGCAACAAGTGAGTATAGCAAAAAAGAAAGATTGTCGGCTAGGCATGGTGGTGCACACCTGTAACCCTAACACTTTGGAAGGCCAAGGTGGGAGGATTGCTTGAGGCCAGTAGTTCGAGACTAGCCTGGCCAACATAAAAAGACCCCATCTCTATTAAAAAAAAAGAGAGAGAGAGAGAGATTGTCAATGTGAAAATAATTTAAAGTGAGTCATACTTTCCATTAATTCACTCAAAAAGTATTAACTGGCCAGGCGCAGTGGCTGTAATCCCAGCACTTTGGGAGGCCGGGGTGGGTGGACTGCTTAAGCCCAGGAGTTCAAGACCAGCCTGGGCAATGTGGCGAAACCCCATCTCTACAAAAAATACAAAAATTAGCTGACTGTGGTGGCTTGTGCCTGTAGTCCCAGCTATTCGGGAGGTTAAGGTGGGAGGATCACTTGAGCCCAAGAGGCAAAGATTGCAGCAAGCCAAGATCATGCCACTGCACTCCAGCCTGGGAGACAAAGTGAGAGCTTCTCAAAAAAAAGTATTAGGGGCCGGGTGCAGTGGCTCACACCTGTAATCCCAGCACTTTGAGAGGCCGAGGCGGGCAAATCACCTAAGGTCAGGAGTTCCAGACCAGCCTGTTCAACACAGTGAAACCCCATCTCTTCTAAAAATACAAAAATTAGCCAGGTGAGGTGGCGCATGTCTGTAATCCCAGCTGCTCAGGAGTCTGAGGCAGGAGAATCACTTGAACCCAGGAAGCACACAGATTACAGTGAGCTGAGGTCGCACCATTGTACTCCAGCCTGGGCAACAAGAGGGAAACTCTGTTTCAAAAAAAAAAAAAAAAGTAATTAGGCCAGGCACAGTGGCTCACACCTGTAATCCCAGAACTTTCGGAGGCCGAGGCAGGCAGATCACCTGAGGTCAGGATTTCAAGACCAGCCTGGCTAACATGGCAAAACCTCGTCTCTACTAAAAATACAAAAATTAGCCAGACGTGGTGGCTCACGTCTGTAATCCTGGCTACTCAGGAGGCTGAGGCAGGAGAATCTCTGGAACCCGCGAAGCGGAGGTTGCAGTGAGGCGACATGGAGCCACTGTACTCCAGCCTGGGCAACAGAGAGAGACTCTGCCTCAAAAAAAAAAAAAAAGGTATTAATTGGGCACTGACTGACACATGCTGTTCTAGGCACTCAGGATACAGGTTTCAACATAATAGTCTCTGTCTTTAAACAACACACAAAAAAAAGAGTTCCACCAAAACATTCGACGAGTAGAGGACCAGAAGTCTTACCACACTAAGTATCCATGCCATTCATTTAGCACCTACTTTGAACCAATTTACCTTGTTAATAACTTCTCATATGCATACCATGTGCACATTTGCAGTACTGAGGGTAAAAACTGTGTTTTATTTATCCTCTATTCTCAAAGTCCTATAACCATGATAGTCTCAAAATGGGTCAGCTCCTTGAAATGCTATTCATTCATTCATTTAACAGATATTTATTGAGCATTTTCAGCACTGTGTCAGGTGCTGTATTCAGGCCCTGGGAATATGGCATTTAGGGGGAAAGTAAAATATAGTGCCTGCCTTCATGGCACTTACGGCCTACTCTAATAGTTAGAGGAGAAAGACTTTAGCCAAAGGTATATATCCTACCTCCAGATAAAACTACAAAACTTACTGCTCAAAAAAAAAATCTAACTTATATTTAAATGAAGTTAACACATACATGATTCCCCCCCAACTTTGTACTTCCATGTAACTTTTTATCCAAAAATTCCCAATTTTTTTTACTCAGTAACTCATTGTTCATAGACTCCCCCTCCAGAGAGGAGGCACAAAAGAAGTGTAAAACATTCTTATTGAAAGACCAAAAACCTAAGTATAAAGAAATCCACTTGGGCCGGATGTGGTGGCTCATGCCTGTAACCTCAGCACTTTGGGAGACCGAGGCGGGCGGGTCGCCTGAGGTCAGGAGTTCGAGACCAGCCTGACCAACATGATGAAGCCCTGTCTCTACTAAAAAATACAAAAATTAGCCAGGTGTGGTGGCAGGCGCCTGTAATGCCAGCTACTTGGGAGGCTGAGGCAGCAGAATTGCTTGAACCTGGGAAGCGGAGGTTGCAGTAAGCTAAGATTGTACCACTATACTCCAGCCTGAGCTACAGAGTAAGACTCCATCTCAAAAAAAAAAAAAAAAAAAAAAAAACAACCCAAAGAAATCCACTCAAGTTGATTATGCACACAAATGAAACGGATAATGCACACAAATGAAACTTCATTGTGTATGTCCTGAAAGAAATGCCAAACACATAATTCAAAGTAATATGGCACTTAGATCCTTGAACAGACAGGATCACTCAACATTCAGGTGCAAACACTGGTTGGGCTTCTCAGTTCTCATAACAGTAGTAATTCTACCACTTGTCCAGCTGGATTCCAGAAGTTATGAGTTTACCTATAATTAGGTATTTAGGAGACATACAATAAAACATCTACCAAAGGATGGTTTAAAAGACTCCTTGACAGGGAAAATGATTTAAGGAATTAGTATGTATTCACTTCCACAGGCTTTATAAGTTTCATCCATGACCTAAACAACAGAATGCGTGTATATCTGGACTACAGAAATAGCCTGTAACTGAATTTAAGCTGCATTTTCACTTGGCTACCAGAGACAATCCTATGAACTCCACTACTGCTTTGGTTCGAAATTGTGGCAGGGAACATTGTCACGTTACAATATATTGTACCTATATTGTACTATAGGAGTACCTATATTGTACTCCATGTAAATCTGATACAGTATAAGGAAAAACTTGCTCTGTTCTGATGAACTTATATTTTCCCCTGCTCATCTGAGAGTTACACACATTATGAGATTTCCCTCTCAGACTTCTTTTACCTCTTTAACCCTCAATTTCGACCACTCTGCTTTGTTATGTTGGCAAACGCATGAGTGTTAGAAAAGGAAAAGCACAAGGTGATAAAAGTATACTAAAGAAGGACCTAGGGATTTTTTTAATTAAAATAAAAATAAAGTAATACAGCATTTTACTTCTAAAGTTACTCAAAATATTTATTTTGATCTCACAAGATGGGGACTCAGAGTCAATGACTATCTCAAAAAGCCTAAAAAGCTAGTGAAAAAGCCAGAAATACCAGCAAACAGACCTAACAATTAGGAGAAGTAGAAAAAAAGAGTTGAAATAATTTTCAAAGATTGCTGTACAGTTTTGTGAATACAGTATTAGATTGTTTACTAGGAGTGACACCTAGGTGGAGCAAATAAACGCTAATGACTGAGGGCCAGATTAACTGATCTAAAAGGGGTCAAGCTTTATGAAAGCTTGGAGCAAAACAAAAGCCACAGTATACAGGAGTAATCACATCTAACTGCATAGCACTAAAAAACAACCTGATATTTTAAAAGTGTGGGCATTGTGGGTAATGATAAGAGAGGAAAAAAAAATAAGAAAATTTAAAAGTGAGGGCACAAAGGCAATCTACAGATTAAGAGAAAAATCTGCAAACCATATATCTGATAAGCAGTTAATTTCCAAAATACATAGGGTACTCCTACAACTCCAAAGGAAGAAAACATTTTTTAATGGGCAAAGCAGGATTTTAAGGCTGCAGTGAACCACTCCAGCCTGGGCATCAGAGTAAGACTCTGTCTCAAAAAAAAAAAAAAAGGGTCCTAACTAAACAGACACCTGTCAGGTATATAAAAAGGTGCTCAACATTACTAATCATCAGGGAAATGCAAATCAAAACCACAATGAGATATCACCTCACACCTGTCAAAATGGCTCTTGTCAAAAAGACAAGAGACAACAAATATTGGGGAGATGTAGAAAAAAGGGAATCCTGGTACATGTCAGTAGAAATGCAAAATGGTGCAGCCACTATGGAAAACAGTATGAACGTTCCTCAAAAAATTAAAAATAGAACTACCATATGATCCAGCAATCCCAACTTCTGGGTATTTATCCAAAGGAATTGAAATTAGGATTTCGACGGACATCTGCACTTCCATGTTCGCAGTAGCATTATTAATAGCTAAGACATGGAAACAATCTAAATGTCCAAAAAGAGATGAATGTAGAAAACGTGGTGTACATGTGTGCATGCCCAGTGGAATACTATTAAGCCTAAGAAGGAAATCCTGCCATTTACAACAACACAGATGCACCTAGAGGATGTTACACTAAATAATATGTCAGTCCCAGAAAGACAAATACTGAATGATCTCACTTATCTGCTAGTTTAGTGGAATCTAAACTAGCAAATTCACAGAAGCAGAGAGTAGAAGGGTGATTGCCAGGGTCTTGTGGGGGGACAATCAAGTTTCACTTATGCCAGATAAGTTCTGGAGATCTATATAGCATAGTGCCTACATCTAAGAATACTGTATTGCATACTTAAAATTTTCTAAGAGGGTAGATTTTATATCAAGTGTTCTTACCACAAAAATAATACTAATAATACATTCATAATAAAAGGGACAGGGAAACTTTAGGAATGACGGACATGTCTATGGTGTTGATGCGGTGGTGTTTTCACAAATATATACTTATCTCCAAACTCACAGAGTTATATACACTAAGTACCACCTTTTACATGTCAAAAAAAAAAAAGGCTTTTCATACCGAAAAAAAGAAAAAGAAAATAATTCCAATAATCGGCAGAATGCATATTTTCCCCCATCCTATGCATATACTACTTGGGAAAAAGACAAAACTTTAAGAAAAGCTCATAGCGCTATGACTTTTTAAAGCAAATAAAATGTCTCTGGACACAGTGAATGAAATAATCTAAAAACAGGGAAAAGGGGGAAAAATAGGCATCAAGTGTAGTTAGTTAAGAACATGGCACAGGCTGGGCGCGGTGGCTCACGCCTGTAATCCCAGCACTTTGGGAGGCCGAGGCGGGCTGATGACGAGGTCAGGAGATCGACACCATCCTGGCTAACACCGTGAAACCCCGTCTCTAATAAAAATACAAAAAAATTAGCCGGGCGTGGTGGCGGGCGCCTGTAGTCCCAGCTACTCGGGAGGCTGAGGCAGGAGAATGGCGTGAACCCCGGGGGGCGGAGCCTGCAGTGAGCCGAGATCGCGCCACTGCACTCCAGCCTGGGCTACAGCGAGACTCCGTCTCAAAAAAAAACAAACAAACAAACATGGCACAAAAGCAGAAAAAGGAGAAACTCCTCAATTACAAACAGGAATATTATGTTACAAACAGGAATACATTTCTTTCTACAAAAATAAGGGTCTGCGAAAGCAACAACACGGGCAACCCCATTTTGCACCAAATGAGACTTTACAGACACTGGCAAATGCTTATTACAGACCCCACAGACATAGAGGGTGTCTTTAAGTACTCCAGAAAGGGTGAACCAGGAGTGCTAAATTCCTACAAAACTGGAGAAGAGCTAACCAGAAATATACAACCTGCTTCATAAATATATAGTCCATAAACTTAATAAATTCAGAATTATAATTTATCCTCTTCTAAAGGTCCAATCACTATGTAAGAGTAGTTACGTCTCTAAAAAAACCTTTCAGAGAAAGCAATTAGATGACTACATCATCTCCTAGAGCCGAACATAAATCTTCTTAAGACTGAAAAACAAATATTTCAAAGTAAATCTTTAGTACCCTGTTATTTATGGTGCTTTAAAACATTTTAAAAGGATCTTTGAAACAAAGTTTCATTAGTACCCTTCTACAAAGAGCTCTCATATCTTTCATTCTTTTAGCAATTTAAAAGCTACCAAATGTTCATTTCCTCATTAGATTATTGATTCCTAGCCTTTTAACATCTCTATAACAGCTGCTTGACAAATTACCTCACCTTATTCCTCGGGGGGTGAGGACAGCATGATATCCATGAATTCAAAAATGGGACCACAAACTGATGAGTGAAGATGAGCTAATTGCTTCAGATGAGTTAGACACTGCTCTAACAGACTAGGCATTCACATAGCATGATACGATTAAATGCTTACACCCTAAATATTTTCTTTGTCCTTAAATGTACAGAAAAGATCTTTTCTTAAATTGAGTTTTATTTTAAAATATGTGATAGCCTCAGTAGGTCAAGAAGCTTGAACATGTTTGGAATAGTTTCCACCGAAAGCCTCGTCTTCAAAGTACTTATTCTCAACAGTTTGCACAACTTTCAGATTTAACCTTATTTCAACCTAAGAGAGCTGTAAGCCCCCAAAATAGTCTATTAAATAGGACGTTATAATGCCCAAAATTTTATCAAAGAAAAGCCAAAACGATTTTCAAAGATATAATAAAAATATTTCAGAGTAGTATGGTAAAATATTCCTGTCTCTGCCTAGATCCATTCTGTTAGTGTCAAAACAGTGTAAGACACAAAGAAAAGCACACACAAACCGCGATCTTGTAGACCCCTAGAACATAAAATATTGCTTTCCCCCAATAAGAACCACAAAATGGTGTGGAATTAAAGGAGCATTTTAAATGAACAGCTTTTTCCAGCCAAATTACTTAGCAAGTCAACCTCTTTTAGACAGAAGCAATACACTCTTCTCTGAATTCAGAAACAATCTCATAGTAAAACAAACGTGTCAATTCCTTTAAAACAATAAATATCTGTGCTTAGCTTTATAATGTAGGTAATAAAATTTCAAGATCTTTCAATCAGTTTTTTAATTCAATCACCAGCGTCTTTAAATGTCATTTTTGCAACTGCATGACTATGGTGTTCATTCACCTTTTGTAATATAGTCCCATAACAAAAATGTAGACACCCAAGAAACCACACAGTTTTGGCATGATGGTGCTGACTATCCGAAACATTCCACTTGTTTCTTTCGACGTGCTCCTTCTGTGACCTGAAAGCTCTGGTTCCTACTAGCACCTTGGTGAGCTAGCTGGCTGGTTCCCCAGCTATAATATCATGTTTGATCTCTCCTGCCTGGAGAGGCGATAGCGTTGATTTTGTTTTTAAAGTTGGTGTCAGAGCAGCTACAAACTTTTTTCAGCATCCCTGCCTGGCTGCCAACTGGAGCTCTCTGTTCACTTCCTCACCAACTTGAACCACCCCCAAACTGAGAGTAAGCTGGAGTTAGACAGCGGCAGGAACTGACACACTTTCAAGAAGGGTTTGACACCGCAGAAAACTTTCACTTCTCCAACCCTTCCACCCAGGGGCTCTGGCCCTTCGCTCTTGCTTCCCCGCTAGAATTCCCCTCTGGGGCAGGACAAGGACACGGACAGCAGATCGTTCGAATGACGCCGAAAGGGACCCCCAAAGCCCTCTCCCCTGGACTCAAGGGCTGTTCTTCACACAAAAGAGCCGGGCCAGCTTGAAAAGCAAAGGGGCCAGCGTCGCGGCCCTTCTCTGGGTGCCACCCTCCACCGCGCCCGCAGACCCTGTCTCCAGCCGCCCGAGCGGTCTCCACTGTAGGCTTCCTACCCCCAACCCGGCCAGACAAAGCCCCGGCAGCAGGGCCGGCACTTCCGAGCCTCCGGACTCGGGACGCCGCGCTCTTACCCTGGCCTCATCCAGAGTGACGCCGGCGCCACCGCTTCCCCCGGCTTTGGCGGCGGGGCAGCTGGCGGCGCGGGTCTTGGAGGAGCGGGTCCGAGAGGAGATGAAATGGCTGCTGCCTCCGGTCGCCCCAGGCTCTGCTCCGGCCCCAGGCCCAGGCCCGGGACCAGGAGACTTGGACCCGAGAAGGCGGAGAGAGCTCTTCCGGGTGTTCACCATGGTCCAGCCAGGGGGACGGAGTCCACGCCGCGCCCGGGAGAGCCGAGCAAGGCCGGCCCGCCGGCCGGTCAGTCAGGGCCAGCGGAGCCGAGCCGGGCAATGAGAGACGAGCCGGCCCGGAGCGTGCGGAGCGCAGACGAGCACAAGAGAGAGCCGGGCAGAGGAAGGGAAGTCGGCGTGAGCAGGCGGCGTGCGGGAAGCGGGGGCGGTGCTGCAGACCGGCAGCACAGACACTCCGCCGGCTTCGCCCTCCTCAGCGGGAGCCGAGCGGAGCCGCCATTTCTACCCCTTTCTCTCCCGTTCTCGCTCTCGAGCTCCGTGCGTCAAGGCTCCAGCGCCGCAGGGCCAACGAGACCGCTTCCGGCCGCAGCCACGGCGGGGCGCTGCGAAGCCGGCCAGCCCTTCCCGGCTGCTCGCTCCTCTCCCTGCCGCCTCCAGCTGCCCCGCCCCCGGCGCGGCGTCAGCGCTCGGCGGCCGGGGAGCGACGCTCTAGGCTGTCAGCTCGGTGGTTTCCAGCTCTCCCCGACCGCAGGGCTGGGGCGACCAGAAAAGCCAGACTAATCAGGACGAGTTCGGGCGTGGAATTGGGCCTGAAGCCCTCATGCCCAGCCAGGCCTGAATGCCCCAGACCCCACCGTCACCCCCGTGGCCTGGATGGAGCAGGGGACGGCCGGCGAAGGCGCGGGGTGGAAGGGGAGCGGCGACGAAGGCGCGAGGAGCTGACTGGGAATCCCCAAGCTACCCGAGGCAAGACACTGAACTTGAGTCGCACTTTTCATGCCTGTAGAAATGAGAATGACAGCTGTGATAAAAAAAAAATTCATCTGGGCGGTATCTGGAACTTGGTAAGCTTAAGAAGAGAAGGGGGGGGGGAAACACCATGCTAGAACTCTGCGTTTTTAAACAAAGCGAGGCAGGGTCGTTTTCTATCCCCTTAGCCAGATCTAAGGCGGAGCCAAAGAATGAGTACCCTGTAAGAGCCGCCTCTATCGCCGCCCCC
Source organism: Homo sapiens (assembly GCF_000001405.40). Classification (NCBI taxonomy): domain Eukaryota; kingdom Metazoa; phylum Chordata; class Mammalia; order Primates; family Hominidae; genus Homo; species Homo sapiens. The sequence goes on from NC_000002.12 coordinate 23,927,771, forward strand.
TGCCCCCGGCCCGCTGAAGAATTAAGAATACAAAAAGCTGAACCCACAGATAAAGCATTTGCAATTTAACTTCCAAAGAAAAAAAAATTAAGCCACACAATTCATATGAAAAGCTCTGCTGTAGGCCGGGTGCGGTGGCTCAAGCCTGTAATCCCAGTACTTTGGGAGGCCGGGGTGGGTGGATCACCTGAGGTCAAGAGTTCTAGATCAGCCTTACCAACATGGTGAAACCCTGTCTCCACTAAAAATACAAAAAATCGATGGGTGTTGTGGTGGGCACCTGTAATCCCAGCTGCTCGGGAAGCTGAGGCATGAGAACCACTTGAACCCAGAAGATGGAGGTTGCAGTGAGCCGAAATCACGCCACTGCACTCCAGCCTGGATGACAGAGCCAGACCCTGTCTCAGAAAAAAAAAAAAGAAGAAAGAGAGAGAGAAAGGAAGAAAGAAAGGAAAGAAAGAAAGAAAAAGAAAGAAAGAAAAGCTCTGCTGTAAAGTAGGAATTAGGTTCATTTCAAAAATTCACAGTACAGGCCGGGCTTACGCCTGTAATCCCAGCACTTTGGGAGGCCAAGGCGGGCGGATCACTTGAGGTCAGGAGTTCGAGACCAACCTGGCCAACATGGTGAAACCCCCTCTCTACTAAAAATACAAAAAATTAGCCAGGTGTCGTGGTGCATGCCTGTAATCCCAGCTACTTGAGAGGCTGAGGCAGGAGAATCGCTTGAACCCGGGAGGCAGAGATTGCAGTAAGCCAAGATCGTGCCACTGCACTCCAGCCTGGGTGACAGAATGAGACTCCATCTCAAAAAAAAAAAAATAAAATTCACAGTACATTAGACATAGCCTACTGTTTATTGGGCAGGAGTTTATTAAACTGTTTATTAAACTAAGAAAAATTGAAAACTCAGGAAAAGTCCTGAAAATGACCAAATGGCATCAAACTTAGAGCATTCTGGCCATCTAAGCTCCCAATCATTCCAAAAAACTGTACAACACTGGAAATGACAATTTTTTTTGTTTGGGAACCAGTATGGATTCCAGAATAGATAAATCCTTCTGACACAATTTGCATACCACATCCTCTCCTGGACACTTCACCTGCCACTTAGAGTTGATGTCTTAATGGGTGGGATTCCTCATAATGGAACCATACCTGGATTTTCCTGGGTCAAGTAGCTATCACATCACTGAGCAGCATAAACAAGTATCAATTCCTGTGGAAAGAGGCTGGTTTGGGCCAGGCACTGTAGCTCACACCTGTATTCTCAGCACTTGGAGGCCGAGGCGGGAGGATGGCTTGAGACCAGGAGTTGGAAACCAGCCTGGGCAACATAGTGAGATCCTCTCCCTGCCAAAAAGAAAGAGAGAGAGACAGGGTCTCACTCTGTCACCCAGGCTGGAGTGCAGTGGCACAACCACAGTTCACTGTAGCCTTGACCTCCCAGGCTCAAGCAATCCCCCTGCCCCAGCCTCCCTGGTAGCTGAAACTACTGGGTGTGGTGCCTGTGGTCCCAGCCACTCCTGAGACTGAGGCGCCATCAGTCACTTGAGCCCAGGATGTCCAGGCTGCAGTGAGCCAAGTTCATGCCATTGTACTTTAGCCTGGGTGACAGAGTAACACCCTGTCTCAAAAAAATATTTAAAAAAAAAAAAAAAGGGTAGGGTGCAGTGGCTAATGCCTGTAATCTCAGCACTTTGGGAGGCAGAGGCGGGCGGATCACTTGAGGTCAGGAGTTCGAGACCAGCCTGACCAACATGGTGAAACCCCATTTCTACTAAAAATACAAAAAATTAGCCAGGCATGGTGGCAGACACCTATAATCCCAGCTATTTGGGAGGCTGAGGCAGGATAATCGCTTGAACCCGGGAGGCGGAGGTTGCAGTGAGCTGAGATTGCACCACTGCACTCCAGTCTGGGCAACAGTGCAAAACTCCATCTCAAAAAAAAATAAATAAATAAAAAGGCTAGTGTCCTGCAGAGGTGTGTGGTATGCAAATTATATACAAAGGATTTGTGTGCTTTCCTCCTTTTTTGTGTGTGTTTATTTGTTTTTGTAGTCCTAAATTGGGAAGGCCAAGTTACCATAACCTATACCATTTACTATCAACAAATGTTAACTTTATTTATTTATTTGAGATGGAGTCTTGCTCTGTCACTCAGGCTGGAGTACAGTGGTACTATCTGGGCTCACTGCAACCTCCGCCTCCCAGGTTCAAGCGACTCTCCTGCCTCAGCCTCCCAAGTAGCTAGGGCTACAGGCGTGTGCCACCACGCCCGGCTAATTTTTTGTAGTTTTAGTAGAGACGAGGTTTCACCGTATTAGCCAGGATGGTCTTGATCTCCTGACCTCGTGATCTGCCTGCCTCAGCCTCCCAAAGTGCTGGGATTACAGGTGTGAGCCACTGCGCCTGGAGGTAACAAATGTTAATTTTAAATCCAACTGAGCTTGAGCCCAGGAGTTCGAAACCAGCCTGGGCAACATAGTGAGTCCCTGTCTCTAGAAAATATATAAGTAAATAAATAAATCCAACTGGTATTAGGTACTCTGCTAGGCCAGGAAATACACAGATTTTTAAAAATCAAGAACGTTTAAAAATCCTCAAAGAACACACAGACATAGAGGGAATGAATAAGATAGGGAAGAAACCAGTAAACTGCAATACAATGTGAAAAGAAAGAATGAGGCAGAGACCATTAATTCCAGCAGGGATTTTAGGGAAAACCTCTGAGAGGTAGTGACCCCTGAGATACGTGTTGAACCACAAAATTGTAGACAAAAGAAAGGAAGACTTGAAAAAGATAAGGCCAAGCAAGGTGGCTCACGCCTATAATCCTAGCACTTTGGGAGGCTGAGGTGGGAAGATGGCTTGAGTTCAGGCATTCAAGACCAGCCTGCGCTGGTCACATAGTGACACCCCATCTCTATAAATTAAAATAAAATTTTAAAAAAGAGAAAGAAAAAGGGCTGGTTGCAGTGGCTCATGCCTATAATCCCAGAATTTAGAGAGGCCAAGGTAGGAGAATCGCTTGAGCTCAGGATTTCAAGACCAGGCTGGGCAATGTAGTGAGACCCCATCTCTATAAATTAAAATAAAATTTAAAAAAAAAGGAGGCCAGGCACAGTGGCTCACGCCTGTAATTCCAGTGCTTTGGGAGGTCAAGGTGGGTGGATCATGAGATCAGGAGTTCAAGACCAACCTGGCCAAGATGGTGAAACCCTGTCTCTCCTAAAAATACAAAAAAATTAGCTGGGTATGGTGGCGGGCACCTGTAATCTCAGCTACTCAGCTACTCAGCAATTCTTTGCCTCAGGTTGCAGTGAGCCAAGATCACTCTGCACTGCACTCCAGCCTGGGCGACAGAGCAAGATTCCATCTCAAAAAAAAAAGGGGGGCTGGGCTCAGTGGCTCTTGCCTGTAACCCCAGCACTTTGGGGGCCAAGGCAGGCAGATCACTTGAGGCCAGGAGTTCAAGATCAGCCTGGCCAACATGACGAAACCCCATCTCTACTGAAAATACAAAAATGAGCCTGGTGGTGGGTACTTATAATGTAATCGCAGATATTCGGAGGCTAAGGCATGAGAATCACTTGAACCTGAAAGGCGGAGGCTGCAGTAAGCCAAGACCTCACCACTGCACTCCAACCTGGGCAACAGAGTGAGACCCTGTCTCAGAAACAAAAATAAGAAAAGAAAAGAGATATGGAAGAGTTGCCTGTTTTCTACAGTACATACTAGAGGAAATAACTAAAACGTTGGTTAAATATTTTTTGAACTTAAAAAAAAAACCTGCAGTACATGCAAGAGGTGGCAAGATACTAAGGAATGCTCAGATCAAAAGCTAAGTCATAGCAGGAACCCAGAACAAGTAAGCAAGGGCTCCAAAGACAGCTTTCATTTCCAATGCATTTGCTCAACCCCAGTGAATTTGACCTTTTCTCTGCGTGAAGAAATGCAAGGCCGGGCACAGTGGCTCACACCTGTAATCCCAGAACTTTGGGAGGCCAAGGTGGGTGGATCATGAGTTTAGGAATTCAGGACCAGCCTGAGCAACATAGTGAAACCCCGTCTCTACTACAGATACAAAAATTAGCCAGGCGTGATGGCAGGCGACTGTAATCCCAGCTACTCAGGAGACTGAGGCAGGAGAATCACTTGAACCCAGGAGGCAGAGATTGCAGTGAGCCGAGATCACGCCATTGCACTCCAGCCTGGGTGACAGAGCGAGACTCCGTCTCAAAAAAAAAAAAGAAAAAGAAAAAGCAGGCCAGGTGCAGTGGTTCTCGCCTGTAATCCCAGAACTTTGGGAGGCTGAGGCAGGCGGATCATGAGGTCAGGAGTTCGAGACCAGCCTGGCCAACATGGTGAAACCCCATCTCTACTAAAAATACAAAAATTAGCCAGGCATGGTAGTGGGCACCTGTAATCCCAGCTAGTCGAGAGGCCGAGGCAGGAGAATTGCTTGAACCCTGGAGGCAGAGGTTGCGGTGAGCTGAGATCATGCCACTGCACTCTATCCTGGGTGACAGAGCAGGATTTTTCCCCCTCCGTCTTGGGGGAAAAAAAAAAAAAGAAATGCAAAAGACAGTAGTAAGGCCTAAAATCTGCTAAATATATGGAATCTAATGCAAACATCCCGCAAAATCCTGCTACAATAAGGATAAAGCTAAGTATGAGTGAATTAGAAATAAATGCACCAACCTTCACTCATCTCCAGGAGACTGCAAGGAGAACTGCCCACCTTTCCCAACACTGACACTAAGAGTGGGGAGCGGTGGGTGGGGGTGCAGGGTTGGGAGGGTCCCTTGAGAATTCATAACAACACACTGATCAACAGGTTTACAGCCTGAATTCACCAAGGCTAGGTATGAAGACCCTCAGGACAATAATTTAAGTTAAATAGACTTGAGTCAAAAGTGATCCTAAGCATAAAGCTGAAGCAAACATAAATCATCTCTGACAGAATATACCTTCAACAGAAAGCACAAAAATAAAGTCCCATGAATATGATTCACAGTAAAAACAGAAAATCACAAAAGAATCATCATGACAACCAGGCGCGGTGGCTCACGCCTGTAATCCCAGACTTGGGGAGGCCGAGGCAGGTGGATCACAAGATCAGGAAATAGAGACTATCCTGGCTAACACAGTGAAACCCCGTCTCTACTAAAAATATAAAATAATTAGCTGGGCATGGTGGCACACGCCTGTAGTCCCAGCTACTCAGGAGGCTGACGCAGGAGAATTGCTTGAACCCAGGAAGTGGAGGTTGCAGTGAGCCAAGATCGCACCACTGCCCTTCAGCCTGGGCAACAGAGCGAGACTCCATCTCAAAAAAATAAAATTAAATTAAATTAAAAAATAAAGGAGAGATTAAAAAGAACTAATGAGCAAAAAATGACAAAACAAATTTTAAAATCATGAAATAGATCTAATAAAAATAAAAAGAATAGGCCAAGCGTGGGGGCTTATGCCTGTAATCCCAGCACTTTGGGAGGCCAAGGCAGGCGGATCACCTGAGGTCAGGAGTTCGAGACCAGCCTGACCAACATGGAGAAACCCCATCTCTACTAAAAATACAAAATTAGCTGGGCCTGGTGGTGCATGCCTGTAATCCCAGCTACTCGGGAGTCTGAGGCAGGAGAATCGCTTGAACCCGGGAGGCAGAGGTTGCAGTGAGCTGAGATCGCACCATTGCATTCCAGCCTGGGCAACAAGAGCAAAACTCTATCTCAAATAAATAAATAGATAATAAAAGAATAAAGTATTCTTAAACATGACACCTAAGCAAGAGCCATAAATTAGTTGGTCATGATGTAAGTACCTGTAGTCCCAGCTACTCAGGGGGCTGAGGCAGGAGGATCACTTGGGCCCAGGAGTTTGAGGCTGTAGTGAGCCTTGGTCACTCCACTGCACTCCAGCCTGGGCAGCAGGGCAAGACCCTGTCTCAAAAGAAAAAAAACAAAAACAGAAACAAAAAACAAAACTGTACCTCCAATGGAGCTAAAGTGAAACACTGCAAGTCTATAGGGAGGCCATCAATGAAGAGATGGTCCTGATTTGGTGGGTGTAGGATGCAATCCATGGGACTGCATCTTTAAGAGCCATGAAACATTTGAGAAACACGAAATCAAGAGGCAAAATCAGAACTATTGACATTAGGCCGGGAGTGGTGGCTCATGCCTGTAATCCCAGCACTTTGGGAGGCCGAGAGGAGCAGATCACCTGAAGTCAGGAGATTGAGACCAGCCTGGCCAACATGGTGAAACCCTGTCTCTACTAAAAATACAAAAATTAGCTGGGTGTGGTGGTGCACGCCTGTAATCCCAGCTACTTAGAAGGCTGAGGCAGGATAATCGCTTGAATGCGGGAGGCGGAGGTTGCAGTGAGATCGCACCACTGCACTCCAGCCTGGGCAACAGAACAAGACTCTGTGTTAAAATAAAAAAAAAAAATTGTTGACATTAGAATTGTGCACTGTCCAATGTGATTACTAGCCACATGTAGTTATTTAAATTTCAAAAATTAAAAATTCATTTCCTCAGTCACACTACCACATTTCAAATATTCAATAAGCAAATGTTGCTAGTAGCCAATGTGTTGGACAATGCAGAAACAGTTCCATCATCACAGAAAGTTCTACTGGACAGTGCTGACCTAGATATTCATCTCAAGGGAAGGAAATGCTCAAAGATGCTCACTTGGTTTCTGTCCTGAACTGGATGGTTGGCAGGGCTACCAATTGGTAAAGAGGATGCAGGATGAGGAGCAGATTGCTGAGTGCCACCCATCGTCCTTCTATGTGAATTCAAAAAGCATTCACTGAACTCTATTATGTACCTATGAAATAGCTACTGTGAAAAGTACTTTGGAGAGTATCTAATAAACAAATTACTCAGTCTGTACACTTATAACTAAAAAGTCAACACAGAAAGAAATTAGAAAAAGAGCAAACTAAACCCAAGCTACCAGAAGGAAATAAAGAATAGAGTGGAGATAAATATAGTATAGAAAAACAAGGCTGGGTGTGGTAGCTCATGCCTGTAATCCCAGCACTTTGGGAGCCCAAGGTGGGCAGATCACCTGAGGTCAAGAGTTCAAGACCAGCCTGGCCAACGTGGTAAAACCCCGTCTCTACTAAAAGTACAAAAAATTAGCTGGGTGTGGCGGTGCATACCTGTAATCCCAGCTACTCAGGAGGCTGAGGCAGGAGAATCACTTGAACCTGGGAGGCAGAGGTTGCAGTGAGCCGAGATCGCACCACTGCACTCCAGCCCAAGCAACAAAGCAAGACCCTGTCTCAAAAAAACAAGCAAAAAAATGGAGCAAACACCTAAATGTCAGAGCTAAAGCTATAAAATGCTTAGAAAAAAACAGAGAAATCTTCATGACATTGTATTTGGCAATAGTTTCTTGGATATGACACCAAAAGTACAGGCAAAACAAGAATAAATTAATTTGACTGAAATTTTAAACTTCTGTATCAAAGGATACTAACCCCAAAGTGAAAAGACAATTCACAGAATCAGAGGAAAGATTTGCAAATCACATATCTGATAAGGGATTACTATCCATAATATGTATTTTTTAAAACGCAAAAACTCCTGTAACTCAACAACAACAACAACAAAAAAAACCTATTTGAAAATTCGCAAGGAGTTAAATAGGCGTTTCTCCAAAAAAAATATACGAATAGCCAATAGGCGCATGAAAAGATATTCAGCATCACTAGTCATCAGAGAAATGCAAATCAAAACCATAGTGAGATACACTTCATACTCATTAGGGCGGGATAGTTATAAACACACATACACATACACACACAGAGAAAATAACAAGTGTTGGGAAGATGTAGAGAAATTAGAACACTAGTACATCGCTGGTAGGAATGTAAGATGGTGCTGCTATTTGGAAAACAATATGACTGGTCCTTGAAAAGTTAAACACAGAAATACCCTATTCCACTTCTAGGTATATACTCAAAAAAATTGAAAACGCCAGGCACGGTGGCCCACACCTGTAATCCCAGCACTTTGGGAAGCCGAGGTGGGTGGATCACCAGAGGTCAGGAGTTCAAGACCAGCCTGGTCAACATGGCGAAACCCCATCTCTACTAAAAATACAAAAATTAGCTGGGCATGGTTGGGGGGCACCTTTAATCCCAGCCAGTCAGAAAAGCTGAGGTGAGAGAATCCCTTGAACCTGGGAGGGGGAGGTTGCAGTGAGTCAAGATTGCACCAATGCACTCCAGCCTGGGTGACAGAGGGAGGCTGTCTCAAAAATAAATAAATTAAATTAATAAATAAATATTCTTGCCACAATAAAACAAAAATTTTAAAAAATTGAAAGTAAGGAGTCAATCAAATACTTGTATACCAAAGTCCATACCAGCATTATTCAAGATAGCAGAAAGGTGGAAGCAACCCAAATGGCCGTCAACATATGAATGGATAAGCAAAATGTAATATATACATACAATGGAATCTTATTCAACCATAAACGGGAATGATATACTGACACATGCTATAACATGAATGAACTTGAAAATAATTATGCTAAGTGAAATAAGCCGGACAAAAAAGAACAAATATTGTAGGAGTCCACGTATATGAGGTATCTAGAATGGGCAAATTCATAGAGACAGAAAGTAGAATAGGCTGTGCGTGGTGGCTCAGACCTGTAATCATAGCACTTTGGGAGGCCAAGGTGGGAGGATTGTTTTGAGTCCAGGAGTTTGAGACTAGCCTGGGCAACCTGGTGAAAATCCTACCTCAAAAAAAAAAAGAGAGAAAGAAAGTAGAATAGAGATTACTATGGGCTGTGGGGATGGAGAGAGACTCTGTCTCAAAGAAAAAGAAAAACATACACCTAACATCATACTCAATGGTGAGAGAGACTGAAAGCTTTTTGTCTAAAATTAGGAACAAGACAAAGAAGCCCACTCTCATCATTTTTTGAGACAGAGTCTTGCTCTGTCACCCAGGCTGGAGTGCAGTGGCGTGATCTCGGCTCACTGCAACTTCTGCCTCCTGGGTTCAAGCAATTCTCCTGCCTCAGCCTCCCGAGTAGCTGGGATTACAGGTGCCTGCCACCACGCCTGGCTAATTTTTGTATTTTTAGTACAGACGGGGTTTCACCATGTTGCCCAGGCTCGTCTCGAACTCCTGGCCTCAAGTGATTCACCTGCCTAAGCCTCCCAAAGGGCTGGGATTAAAGGCATGAGCCACCGTGCCCGGCCTCATCATTTCTTTTCTGTTTTTCTTAAGTCTAGTAATAGAGTCTCGCTATGTTGCCCCAGGTTGGTCTCAAATTCCTGGGCTCAAGCAATTCTCCTGCCTCAGCCTCCGAAAGTGCTGAGATTACAGGTGTAAGCCACCACACCCAGCCTCTTCATTTCTATTCAACATTGTACTGGAAGTTCTAGCTAGAGCAGTTAGACAATAAAAAGAAATAAAAGGCATCCACATTAGAAAGAAATAAATAAAACTATGGCCAAGTGTGGTATCTCATACCTGTAATCCCAGTGCTTTGGGAGGCCCAAGCAGGAGGATAGTTTGAGGCCAGGGGTTCGAGACCAGCCTGGGCAACACAGTGAAACTCCATCTCTACAAAAAAAATTTTTTTTTAATTGGTCGGGCATGGTGGCACACGTCTGTGGTCCTAGCTACTCAGGACACTGTGGTGGAAGGATTACTTGATCCCAGGAGTTCGATATCAACCTGGGCAATGTACGGAGACCCCATCTCTAGCAAATGATTAGAGCTAATAAGTGAATTCAGCAAAGTTGTTAGATACAAGATCAACACACAAAATCAGTGGTATTTCCAAATACTGGCAATAAAAAATCTAAAAAGGAAATAAATCAACTCCTTTTACAATAGCATCAAAAAGAATAAAATACTTTGAAATATATTTAACCAAAGAGGTACGAGACTTGTACGTGGAAAACTATAAAACACTGCTGAAAGAAATGAAAGAAGGTCTAAGTATGGTCATGTAGTGCTTAACCATGGGGGCACCTTCTGAGAAATGTGTCGTGTAAGTGAATTCGTCGTTGTGTGAACATCACAGAGTATACTTACACAAACCTGGATGGTATAGTGTACTACACATCTAGGCAATATGGCATAGCCTTGCTCCCGGGCTACAAACCTGGACAGCATGTTACTGTATTGAATACTGTAGACAATTGTAACATGATGGTATTTGTGTATCTAAACATAGAAAAGATACAGTAAAAATATGGCCTTATAATCTTATGTGACCACCATCACATATGCTGTAAGTCATGGACCGAAAGGTTGTTATGTGGCGCACGACTATAAATGCAAAAATATTCATGCTTAAGGATTTGAAGACTTTATATATAAAGTGAGTCATCGCACCAGTATTGTTAAGATATCAATACTCCGGCTGGGTGTGTTGGCTCACACCTGTAATACCGGCACTTTGGGAGGCCGAGGCGGGTGGATCATCTAAGGTCGGGAGTTCAAGACCAGCCTGACCAACATGGTGAAACCCTGTCTCTACTAAAAATACAAAAATTAGCTGGGCATGGTGGTGCATGCCTATAATCCCAGCTACTTGGGAGGCTGAGGCAGGAGAATCACTAGAACCTGGGAGGCGGAGGTTATAGTGAGCCGAGATCATGCCATTGCACTCCAGCCTGGGCAACAAGAGCAAAACTCCATCTCAAAAAAAAAATTGAAGGTATCAATACTCCTCAAATTGATCTACCAATTCAAAGCAATCCCTGTCAAAATCCCAGTGGCCCCCCCCTCCCTTTTTTTTTTTTTTTAACAGCAATGGAAAAGCTGAGCTAAAATTCATACAGAACTGCAAGCGACAAAACAATCTTGAAAAAGAGGAGCAAAGTTGGAGGACTCAAACTTCCTGATTTCTATACAGCTACTATACAGCTGTATACAGCTACTATACAGCTACAGTAATCAAAATAGTATGGTACTAGCATAAAGATAAGATACATAATCAATGGAATAGAATTGAGAGTACAGAAATAAATTTATACATCCATGGTCAATTGATTTTTGACAAGGGAAGAATCCTCTCTTCATTAAATGGTGCTGGGACCAAAAAATCGGAAGAGCTCTCACAGAATGGTCAAAGAAAAGTCTCTTTGCCTAATGGGATCAATTTAACTCCTTATTGTGCTTCAACAGACACGGTCTCATGAGCAGTGAGATTTGAACTCACCACAGGCTCCCAAAATCACTGAACAGGAGATGAGGGAGGTGGTGGTGGGGGGAACGGCATGGGCCTGTAGGTGAGGATCAATCTCAATCTGAGTCCCCGCACTAAAGACTTACAAATAAATCCCGATTTAGGCAAACCGAGACTTTATTCGGAAAGGATTATTGCAACAGGGGGGAAAAGGACTATTGCAATAAGGGTGGAGAACTATTGCAATAGGAAGAAGGACTGTTGCAATTGGGAGAATGCTGGACTATAAAATAAAAAACAAATCTGGATATACGTAAGGAGAGAGTTCAGTGGAAGAGATCCAAGAAAAGGGAAAGAAACTATTGCAACTGAGAGTGGGGATTGGGGGAGGCTACAGCAACCGGGAGAACTCTCCAACCATGAGATCTGCAGCGATCTCCTGGGTCAGGCAGAAAAGGGCTTTCCTTTTACAGAGATGAGTGAACAGGGCTAGAAAGACCCGGGTGTGGGGAAGTGGGGAGAAGACTGGAGGTGGCAGCGATGAGACTATACAGAGACTGTTTCCCTGGGGTCCGTCTATTTTCAGGCGGTGGATGAGGAGGGCTGCTCGCTGGCTGCGGCTGAGGCTCGGTCACCGTGTAGAGAGGCCCAGGGAGAGCTGCTTCACTCAAGTCCTGTCAAGTCAAGGCAGCCGGGATTTGTCCACATCGTGAGTACAGGCAGGTCAGCTAACTATTTGCGAGGCGAAGAACTGGAATTTAGAGGGTCTGGGCCTGACCTTGTCACAGCTAACGACGGGGGCATCCTTGAGTCCTGACAAAGTCACATGCGGAAGGGCGGTTGCGTGTAGTAAGTCCTTTTAGGAACACAAAGGGGCCGGGCGCGGTGGCTCACGCCTGTAATCCCAGCACATTGGGAGACCAAGGCGGGCGGATCACCTGAGGTCAGGAGTTCAAGACCAGCCTGGCCAACATGGTGAAACCCCGTCTCTACTAAAAATACAAAAATTAGCCGGGCGTGCTGGCAGGCGCCTGTAATCCCAGCTACTCCGGAGGCTGAGGCAGGAGAATCGCTCGAATCCGGGAGGCGGAGGTTGCGGTGAGCCAAGATCGCGCCATTGTATTCCAACCTGGGGGACAAGAGCGAGATTTAGTCTCAAAAAAAAAAAAAAAAAAAGGTGGGTGGGGGTTTCTTCAACTTCGTTGTCCACAGGGCTCAGGTCAAGTTCAACATTGTCAGAATGCAGGGATGTCTCTCCATGGTTTCTGAGGCTGAGGAGGTACCCAGGTAAGCACACTCTGGGTTCTCTGGTGAGCACACACCGAGCTGCCTGCATCTCCCCTACCCATGAAGGCAGCTAGCCGCCGGGCCAGTGGTGGGAAGGGGAGGCGGCCATTAGCGCCGTTCCCGCCGGGACTTGAAGCGCCCGGCCGCGGCAAGCCCCGCCCTCGGCGCGCCCCCGCGTCCGCGCGCGCTCCTCGGGTCTGCGCGGAGCCGGCGTCGGCGCGCGCTTGGGCGCCTGGCGAAGACCGAGAGAGGCTGGCGGGATCTCAGCGGCGCGGCCGCGGAACCTGAGGCGGTCTGGGGCGGCGGCGCTCCGGCTCTGAAGGGCTCCAGCCAAACGGAGCCCGCGGCCAAACGGTGCCTGCGGTGCCTGAGCTGAGTGAGGCCGAGGCCGGGAGGCCGTGCCCGGAGGTGAGCGTCCCGGGGCCGCGCCGCGTCCGGCGGGGTGAGGGCGGGGCGGGGCGGTCGCCTGCCGGCTGGGGCCGAGGGGTCGCGGCCTGTGGCTTGGCCGCCGCGGATCGTCGGTGTCGGGGGGAGTCTCGCTCCGGAGGGCCGCGTGTTTGCGACTCGGGAAGGGGCGCCGGCGGCGGAGCCCGAGCCAGGGTCCCGCCCAGCCCAGGTGAGCGGCGACCCCGAGCCCCTGACTCGCCTGCGGCTTGACTTGCGAGCTAGCTGAAGGCACAGCTCCTGGTTCTCTCGCAGGGCGTTCCGAAACTTACAGTTATGCGCAACACAATGTTTCTATTTTCAAAGGCGAACGCTGCACGATCGCAGTCCAGTGATACAAAGTATGCCTATTAGTGACTTCACCCGACTCCCACCACTCACTTTCTCTGATGTTTTGAAGGCCTGGTGTTCGCTGATTTCACGTTTCCTTAATTTCTTCTTTGTGCCTTTTTTTTTTCCTTTTCGCTGCCAGTAATAAAAGAGTTTATTACTTGTCAGCAATGATGAATGTTCGTGTGGCATCCAGCGTTGAGTTCCTATGTACGTAATTTGAGATAAGTAAAGATAGGAAACTGCTGATTTGTTTTGATGCGAATGCAGAAAATAATGTGGTAGTATGAAGTCTGGCCGGTTGCAGTTTGTTTTTAGGGGGGAAACTTTAAAAGTTCATGTTGTGTCTTCTTTCTAAATATGCTGAAAGTCGGATTTATTTAAAAGGCAATTAAATTCAGTGAATACAGAGTATCTTTTTATAACACTAATGTTAGTGCTAGGCACTGGCGGAGTCCAAAAATGTGTAAAAAATGTGTGCAGGAGGGAGTGGTTAAGCACACTAATGATATGAGGCTGACTGCAGTCCAGTGTTAATGGAAGCTCACACTTACTGAGCAGTTGTTTTCAGCTGGGCACTGTGGAGGGTACTTTACTTGCATTTTAATTTAATAATGTATAATAATTAGCATACACTTGATTTAATTTTTTTCATTCAAAAAAATTTTAGTACCTACTGTGTACTGAATGCTAAGGATACAATAGTGACAATTACAGACTCTGCCTTTAGACTCTACAGTGTCATTGGGCAAAACAGATATTAAGCAAATAATCAGGGCCCGGAGCGATGGCTCACGCCTGTAATCCCAGCACTTTGAAAGGCTGAGGTGGGCAGATCACCTGAGGTCAGCAGTTCTAGACCAGCCTGGCTAACATGGTGAAACCCCGTCTCTCTCTACTAAAAATACAGAAATTAGCTGGGCGTGATGGGGGGCGTCTGTAATCCCAGCTACTCAGAAAAACTGAGGCAGGAGAATAGCTTGAGCCGGCGAGAGGTAGAGGTTGCAGTGAGCCAAGATGGTGCCACTGCACTCCAGCCTGGGTGACAGAGCGGGACTCCATCTCAAAAAGTAAAATAAAATAAATAATCACACAAATAAATGCCAATAAGCAAAGACAGAGGCTAAAATAAAGAATGTAAGTTGTTTGTGAGAGAAGGTAACAGGGGGACTTATCCAAGCTGGGAAAGTTTTCCTAGGAAAGTAATCTTTGAGCTTAGATATTAGGGATAAATAGGAATTAGGGGAAGATGACTCCCAAAGGAGAGAAGAAAGGCTCAGGCAAAGGAAATAGATGGCGCGGAGGCTAGGGAAGATGGTCATTTCAGGAACTTCAGCAGTTGTTGTGTGGAAAGCAAAAGGGTGCTGTGATAAAGTAGGTTAGGGCCAAAGAGATGATGCAGGGCTTTTTTTTTTTTTTTTTTTTTTGTTACAGAGTCTCGCTCTGTCACCCAGGCTGGAGTGCAGCGGCACGATCTTGGCTCACTGCAATCTCTTCCGGATTCAAGCGATTCTCCTGCCTCAGCCTCCCGAGTAGCTGGGACTATAATGCGCGCCACCATGCCCGGCTAATTTTTGTATTTTTAGTAGAGATGGAGTTTCACTGTGTTGGTCAGACTGGTCTCAAAATCCTGACCTCTGGTGATCCACCCACCTCGGCCTCCCAGAGTGCTGGGATTACAGACGTGAGCCACCGTGCCCGGCTGATGCAGGGCCTTTTAAGCAATGTTAAGGATTTGGGACCAGCTTTTTCTGTTTCTTTTTCTTTTTTAAACTTTTATAGAAAACTTTTCAAACCACTCAAATGTAGGGAGAGAACAGTACAATGAACTCTCCCGTAATATTACCCAAATGACTTGGATGTTATTTTAACAGTAATAGGAAGTCGTTTAAAGGTTTACCTCCGTCAGAAAAAAAAAAAGTTTAAAGCAAGGTAAGTCTTACTACAAACAACTTTTTTTTTTTTTTGAGACGGAGTCTCGCACAGGCAGGAGTGCTGTGGTGCAATCTCCGCTCACTGCAACCTCTGCCTCCCGGGTTCAAACGATTCTCCTGCCTCAGCCTCCCGAGTAGCTGGGATTACAGGCATGCGCCACCATGCCTGGCTAGTTTTTTGTATTTTTGGTAGAGACGGGGTTTCACTGTGTTGGCCAGGCTGGTCTCGAACTCCAGACCTTCTGATCTGCCCACTTCAGCCTCCCAAAGTGCTGGAATTACAGGCGTGAGCCACCGTGCCTGGCCAACTTTTTATTTCAAAAAGTCGTCCTGACTGCTGTGTAGAAACTGGATTGGATGGGGACAAGAATGGAAATGAGGAGACCACCTAGAGTTGATGGTGGTTGGGACTAGAATTGTGGCAATGAAGGCATTGAAAATTTAAGAGTACCTAACTGATCTCTTCTCATGTTAATAATTTTATATTCACACCTATTGGAGGAATCATGGAAGGTTTTCTAAAGGAGATTGTATGTATGTATGTTTTTATTTATTTGAGATAGAGTTTTGTTCTTGCCACCCAGGTTGGAGTGCAATGACCCAATCTTGGCTCATGGCAACTTCTGCCTCCTGGGTTCAAGCAATTCTCCTGCCTCAGCCTCCCAAGTAGTTGGGATTACAGGTATGCACCACCACACCCAGCTAATTTTGTATTTTTAGTAGAGAGAGACAGGGTTTCACCATGTCGGTCAGGCTGGTCTCGAACTCCTGACCTCAGGTAATCTGCCCGTCTTGGCCTCCCAAAGTGCTGGGATTACAGGCTTAAACCACCGTGCCCAGCTAAAGGAGATTATATTTAAAATGAGCTTTGCATTTCCGTCCAGACCAGAACCCAAGATGGCTGCACTCTTGCTGAGACATGTTGGAGTGGTCATTGCCTCCGAGCGCACTTTAGCCCTCAGCTTTGTATCAGAAATGCTGTTCCTTTGGGAATCATGGCCAAAGAAGAGATGGAATGGTTCTGGAATAAGAACACAGGTTCAAACCGTCCCGTATCTCCCCACGTCACTATCTAGAGTTGGTGTCTTCCTATGTCGATGTCCATCTGCCACCATGGCTCTGGTATTGCTTTGAGCACAGGGGTCTCTTTTTGGCATGTCAGCCCTGTTACTCCCAGGAAAGTTTAAGTCTTACTTGGAACTCATTGGTCCCTGTGTCTGGGGCCAGCACTGATGGACACAACTAAGTTTGCACTCGTCTTCCCTCTCATGTATCATACCTGGAATGGGATCCAACACTTGATGTGGGACCTAGGAAAAGGCCTGAAGATTCCCCAGCTATACCAGTCTGGAGTGGTTGTCCTGGTTCTTACTGTGTTATTTGTAGGGCTGGCAGCTGTGTGAAGAACTGAGGTGACCAGCATCATCTTCCTACACATTATTGTATTCACCCATCTTTCAGTTTGTCAGTCTTATCTCCACCCTGGGAAAAGTTCTCCTTATTTGTTTAGATTCTTTTGCGCTTTCAGATCCCCTTGGAACAGTACAGTACCTTGTAGACCGTAATGGTGGAAAAGGGTCTAGTTTTCCCCTTGTTTCTAAAGATGGGGTGGCTGCAAAAACTCCCCTTTTTTTGCCCACAGCTTGCCTAATCTGGGCCTAGAAGCAGTTATTCTCTCTCCATATTGGGCTTTGATTTGTGCTGAAGGTCAGCTTTTGGCTCCTCCTTCCTGGGATATTGGAAACAATGCCAGCTCTGTGGCTTCTGCCCTGGGGACTGGGGGTGAGGCTTTGGGCACCACTGCCTGTGAGTTGCTGGCTTAAAGGACAGTTCTGTTCATTGGTGAGAGCCAGGCCATTAACACCTACGCAGTGTTACTGAAAGAAGAGAGGTGGGAGTGGAGCAGAATTAGTCTGTCCCAGCTAGAGAGAGCTAAAGAGGACTAGTTAGTTCTTGGAGCAGCTGCTTTGAGGAGAAAATATATAGCTTTTGACCCAAGAGGAAGATCCAGAAAATTATTGAATATATTAAAGTTTTTTTTCTTGCATTTCTAGAAAAGCCTCTTAATTTTTTGCTTTCTCATCCAAGTCATGTACCACTTTTTTCTGAAACTGAATTAAAATACTTATTAAAAAAAAGGGGGGAGGGCCCTTTGTGACATAAGATAACATTTCAGTATGGAGCCCTGGAATGAGAATGTCCTGGAATGGGAATGTCTTGGTCAGCCCTGGAATGACTCAATAAGTAACCTTGCCAGTCTCTGCCTAAGTGTCACCTTTCCCATAGGATTTTCTCATTTAAATTACTGTTGTCACTACCACTTTGGTCCTTGGAGTATATAAGTAGCCCATTAAAAATTTCTAGGAAAGGACAAAAATATATTTTCTTCATTACTATGATTACAGCTAAAATAAGCTGAAACTTTCCAAAAGATTTCATTTTCTATCACTTAGTATATAGTAAACCAGAATTCACAAAATATACAAATGAACTGTCTTTTAAGTATTTGGTTCTGATGCTATCATAGTTGGTTGCTTTTGGAGGCTTGGGGGCCTAATCACATTCCATAGAAGATCTAAGTAAAAGGAACCCAACATGGAAATGTGATCCATTGGTTTCTTTTCCCTCGTGTTTAATACCTGGAATGGCCTTATCCTTAAAAAGAAACGTAAGCTTCTATATAAAGGTAGCATGTCTGATTGTATAATACCTTGATACAAATCCATAATCTAAAAAAAAGTGGCCAGTTTTTTGTTTGTTTTTGCATTTTTTCTCCTCAAATTCCTTTTGACCATGAAATATATGTTTTAAAAAATAAAATTGTAATGTGCAATTTTTAATTTAATTTTTAATTATGCATTTAATTCTTTTTTTTTCTTCTCTTTTTTTTTTTTTGAGACAGGGTCTCACTCTGTCACCCAGGCTGAACTGGAGTACAGTGGCATGATCTCAGCTCACTGCAACCTCTGCCTCCCAGGTTCAAGCAATTCTCGTGCCTCAGCCTCCCGAGTAGCTGGGGATTATAGGTGTGTGTTCCCACGTCCGGCTAGTTTTTGTATTTTTAGTAGGCACAGGGTTTTGCCAGGTTGGCCAGCCTGGTCTCAAACTCCTGGCCTCAAGTGATTTGCCCCCTTGGGCCTCCCAAAGTGTGGGGATTACAGGCATGAGCCACTGTGTCCAGCCACATTTAATTCTTTTGTTTATTTATTTATTTATTTATTTTTAGACAGAGTTTCACTTCGACATCCAGGCTGGAGTGCAGTAGTGCAATCTCAGTTCACTGCAACCTTTGCTTCCGGGTTCAAGCGATTCTCCCGCCTCAGCCTCCTGAGTAGCTTGGGACTACAGGCGTGTGCCATCATGCCTGGCTAATTTTTGTTTTTTGTTGTTTTTTTTTTTTACTCACTCTGTCACCAGGCTGGAGTGCAGTGGCGTGATCTCGGCTCACTGCAATGTCCGCCTCCTGGGTTCAAGCGATTCCCCTGCCTCAGCCTGCTGAGTAGCTGGGACTATAGGCGCACGCCACTATACCTGGCTATTTTTTTTTGTATTTTAATAGAGACGGGGTTTCACCATGTTGGCCAGGATGGTCTCCATCTCCTGACCTCGTGATCCACCCGCCTCAGCCTCCTAAAGAGCTGAGATTACGGGCATGAGCCACCATGCCTGGCCAATTTTTGTATTTTTAGTAGAGATGGAGTTTCACCATATTGGCCAGGCTGGTCTTGAACTTCTGACCTCAAGTGGTCCACCTGCCTCAGCCTCCCAAAGTGCTGGGATTCAGGCATGAGCCACCGCACCCAGCCCTATTTAATTCTTAAGATGTAGTTTTTATATTCAGATTCTTATACACTTATTTTAAATTTTTGTTTATAGATTTTAAAAAAGAAATCAGACAGTCTCCCAAGTCAGAAGAGTCTCAGACTCCCAATTTATTAATTTTTTTTTTTTTTTTTTTTGAGACAGGGTCTCACTCTTACCCAGGCTGAAATTCAGTGGCACAATTATAGTTCACTGCAGCCTTAAACTCCTGGACTCAAGCAACTCTCCTGCCTCAGCATCCTGACTAGCCAGGACTACAGACGTTTGCCATGATGCCTGGCTAATGTTCTTATTTGTAGTAGTGACAGGGTCTCACTGTGTTGCCTAGGCTGATCTTGAACTCCTAGCATCAAGAGATTCCCACCACCTGAGCCTCCTAAAGTGCTGAGATTACAGGGGTGCACCACTGTGCCTGGCCTAACGTAAGCATTTTAAAATACCACATTCTTAGTAGTCCAAATCTATTTTGACTGGCCTTTCCTGTTAGTGGACATGTTCCATAAAACTCAGTCTTCTCTGTCTCCTGATTGATTTCATCACTGCACTTTTTGGGATAGTATTTGAGAAGATGTTCGGTAAACTGTGATATGCTATATCAATGTAAGATGATGGTGATAGTTGGAAGTAGACCGAAGAAAAATGAAGGCAGTTCTTTTCATCTGTTCATTCTTGTGCCAACTTTATGCTGATAACTTGGATATTTGTCAGATGGCTTTTTTTATTCTCTGCAGTATAGTACATGACTTAGGTTCATTCATGTCATATGACTGTGATACATTTGTAGCAGCTCACTCAATTGATATAAATAAATTTTAGTTGGTTCATTTGCATGTTACTAAATTTATGATAGAAAATGACTGCGGTAATGGTGACTTTGTGGTGTCTCCATGTTAAAATTAATTTTTACATCATAATTCTATGCCATGCTTACAATTAGTAATTCAGTTTGTTTTTTCCTTATTAGTCCATAAAATTGTGCTACTAGAAACTGTCATACTGATACTGACACTTTTGTCATTAGTTTTAAATCAGTGGCTTGCACACATTGGTGGGTGGTTCAATAAGTATATAAAACATTTTTTTTTAAGTTTTTGTTTTTTTGAGATGGAGTTTTGCTCTTGTTGCCCAGGCTGGAGTGCAATGGCGGGGGCTCAGCTCCCTGCAACCTCCTCCTCCCAGCTTCAAGTGATTCTCCTGCCTCAGCCTCCCAAGTAGCTGAGATTACAGGTGCCCACCACCATGCACGGCTAATTTTTGTGTTTTTAATAGAGACAGGGTTTCATCATGTTGGCCAGGCTGGTCTAGAACTCCTGGCCTGAGGTGATCCGCCCGCCTCAGCCTCCCAGAGTGCTGGGATTACAGGCGTGAGCAACTGTGCCGGGCTTTTAAAAAGTTTAATTCGTGAAATCAAAAGTAAAATTTCATAATCATGTCAAAATTAGGACTTTTTAGATTAAGTCTGAAGATGTTTCTTTTTCTTTTTCTTTTTTTTTTTTTTTTGAGACAGAGTCTCACTCTTGTTGCCCAGGCTAGAGTGCAGTGGCGTGATCTCGGCTCACTGCAACCTCCACCTCCCAATTCAAGTGATTCTCCTGCCTCAGCCTCCCAAGTAGCTGGGATTACAGGCATGCGCCACCATGCCTGGCTAATTTTTGTGTTTTTAGTAGAGACAGGGTTTCACCATGTTAGCCAGGCTGGTCTCAAACTCCTGATCTCAGGCGATCTGCCCACCTCGGCCTCCCAAAGTGCTGGGATTACAGGCGTGAGCTTGAAGATGTTTCTTACCAATCTCTATAACAGATTATGGTGGGGGATGAGGAAAGAAAAAGGAGTATAACACTGTTGTATTCTTAGTATCTTCAGTCCTCAGAACAACCTGAGGGGGATAATTATGTCCATGCTATAAGTTAGGCAGCTGGGACTCAGAGAAGCTAAATAACATATACAAGGTCACCTAGCTCAAAAGTGATGTAGCCAGTATTCCAGTAAAACTCAGTTTGAATTTGAGGTCTATTCTATCTTCATTCTCTTTTGCTGTCATAAAACAAGTAAAAGCAATTTGTCAGTACCTTATAACTGTAAAATGATGGAAAAAAGTATTTGTAATTTCCTAGAGAACAATAACCTATTACTGGAAACTCAGTGAAATCCTTTAAGTAAGACTTCTCTTGTAGCTTTTTTTTTTTTTTTTTGAGACAGAATCTCTGTCACCCAGACTAGAGCACATTGGCGTGATCTCCCCTCACTGCAACCTCCATCTCCCTGGTTCAAGTGATTCTCCTGCCTCAGCCTCCCAAGTAGCTGGGACTACAGGCGTGTGCTACCAAGCCTGGCTATTTTTTTTTCTTTTTTTTTTTTTTTTTGTATTTTTAGTAGAGACGGAGTTTCACCATGTTGGCCAGGCTGGTCTTGAACTCCTAACCTCAGGTGATCCGCCTGCCTTGGCCTCCCAAAGTGCCGGGATTACAGGCATGAGCCACCACACCCAACCCTCTTGTAGCTTTTAGAAGAAATTTATTTGCCAGGCATGGTGGCTCACGCTTGTAATCCCAGCACTGTGGGAGGCCGAGGTGGGCGGATCATGAGGTCAGGAGATGGAGACCATCCTGGCTAACACATCGAAACCCTGTCTCTACTAAAAATACAAAACATTAGCCGGGCGTGGTGGCACATGCCTGTAGTCCCCAGCTACTCGGGAGGCTGAGGCAGCAGAATCACTTGAACCCAGGAGGTAGAGGTTGCACTCCAGCCTGGGCAACAGAGCAAGACTTCATCTCAAAAATAAATAAATAAATAATAAAAATAAAAATAAGTTTATTTATAGCCGGGCGTGGTTGCCCATGCCTATAATTCTAGCACTTTGGGAGGCCAAGGCAGGAGGATCACCTGAGGTCAGTAGTTTGAGACCAGCCTGGCCAATGTGGTGAAACGCTGTCTCTACTAAAAATACAAAAATTAGCCAGGCATGGTGGCACATGCCAGTAATCCCAGCTACTTGGGAGGCTGAGGCAGAAGAATCACTTCAACCTAGGAGGCGGAGGTTGCAGTAAGCTGAGACCTCACCACTGCACTCTAGCCTGGGCAACAGAGCAAGACTCTGTCTCAAAAAAAAAAAAATTATTTGTATAAATGTGTGGGGTACAAGTATAATTTTGTTACATGGATATATTGTACAGTAGTAAAGTCAGAGCTTTTAATGTATCCATCACTGGAATAATTTCTCATCATCCCCCCACCCCCACCCCCACCCCCACCCCAAGGATCGCTACTCTTTGCTTTGCACTTGCTGCACACTGTGAAGGATACAGGAAATGTGTAAGTCATGGTACTTATCCTCAGCGATGTCAGATCTGGTAAAGAGAGTGAAAAGAAACAGTAATAAGCAATATCACACAATATGATTTAAATGCCAAAAATCTAAATGCTTAGGAGGAGACTATTACTAAGGGTCTAATATTTCATCTTTATGGTGGAAATGGATCTTGAGCTGGGACTTAAAGGATAGTTAGGATTTGAATGCCTAGGACGATGATTACAATGTGAACAAAGTAGTAGAATGAACATGTTATGCTTTTGAGATAATGAAGACCAGATCTAAACTATGGAAATATTTTATTTTATTTTTATTTTATTATTATTATTACTGTTTTTGAGACGGATTCTCGCTCTGTTGTCCACGCTGGAGTGCAGTGGCATGATCTTGGCTCACTGCGACCTCCGACTCCTGGGTTCCAGCAATTCTCCCACCTCAGCCTCTTGGTAGCTGGGATTACAGGCGCCCTCCACCATGCCTGGCTAATTTTTTGTATTTTTAGTAGAGATGGGGTTTCACCATGTTGGCTGGGTTGGTCTCGAACTCCTGACCTCAAGTGATCCGCCCACCTCGGTCTTCCAGTGTGCTCGGATTACAGGCATGAGCCTCTGCGCCTGGCCTATTTTATTTTATTTTTTGAGATGAAGTTTTGCTCTTACGCCCAGGCTGGAGTGAAGTGGCACGATCTTGGCTCACTGCAACCTCCACCCGCCGGGTTCAAGCGATTCTCCTGCCTCAGACTCCCGAGTAGTTGGGATTACAGGTATGCGCCACCACACCCATGCGTGGTTCGCCGTGTTGGCCAGGCTGGTCTCGAACTCCTGACCTCAGGTGATCCACCCACATTGGCCTCCCAAAGTGCTAGGATTACAGGCATGAGCCACCATGCCTGGCCTATTCATTATTTTTTAGTTGACAATAATTTTATATATTTATGGGATACATTGTGGTGTTTCAGTACTTATGTACATTATGGAATGGTCAAATCAGGCTAATTACCATGCCCCTCAGCTCAAATACTTAACATTTCTTTGTTGTGAGAACATTTAAAACCCATTCCTTCTGCTATTTTGAAGCATACAGTATTATTAACTGTAGGAGATTATTTTGAATTAGTTGAAAATAATGTTGGAGAACTGCCAAGTGAAAAACAAACAGCCCCACCAGATTATAATGTCCAAAAGAGCTGGGATCTTTATCTATTTTGTTCAATATGTATCCCAAGCACCTAGAATCATTCATGTCTGATATATAGTAGGTGCTGAATAAGTATACACTTTAGTTATTTTTAACAACTTTCCATCATTATAATTGATATACAGTAAGATGGATATATATATATATATATATATATATATATATATATATATATATATATATAGTTTTGTTTCATTTTGAGACAGTTTTGCTCTTGTCACCCAGGCTGAAGTGCAGTGGTGCGAGCTTGGCTCACCAGAACCTCTGCCTCCAAGGTTCAAGCGATTCTCCTGCCTCAGCCTCTGGAGTACTTGGGATTACAGGCACCTGCCACCATGCCCAGCTAATTTTTGTGTTTTTAGTAGAGACGGGGTTTCACCATGTTGACCAAGCTGGTCTCGAACTCCTGGCCTGAAGTGATCCCCCTGCCTGGGCCTCCCAGAGAGCTGGGATTACAGGCATGAGTCACTGTACCATTTTATTTCTTAAAAAAGAAACAAATGAGTCAAGCTGATCTGAATGGTCAGGGTGGGTGTTTATATTTTTCTCTTTCCTTTGTGTATGTTTGAAATATGTAGACATTTTTAAAGTGAAGCAATTAATTTTAGGAATACTACGTTTGAAGGAAGAAATCTTATGAGAAAACGTTAATGGGCATAGAGTTATGATTTCCTGAAGTTTTTTTCCTTTTTTTTTTTTTTTTTGAGACAGAGTCTCACTCTGTCACCCAGGCTGGAGTGCAGTGGTATGATCTCGGCTCACTGCAACTTCTGCCTCCTGTGTTCAAGCAATTCTCCTGCTTCAGCCTCTCAAGTAGCTGGGACTACAAGCGCTCGCCATCACACCCGCCTAATTTTTGTATTTTTAGTAGAGATGGGGTTTGACCATGTTGGCCAGGCTGGTCTCAAACTCCTGACCTCAGGTGATCCACCTGCCTTGGCCGCCCAAAGTGCTGGGATTACAGGCGTGAGCCATCACACCCGGCTGCTGGGTTTTGTTTTTTAAGACGGTCTCCCTCTGTTGCCCAAGCTGGAATGTAGTAGAATGATCACAGGTCGCTGCAGCCTCAACTTCCTGGGCTCAAGCGATCATCCCATCTCAGCCTCCGGAGTAGCTGGGACTACAGGCATATGCCACCGTGCCGGGCTAATTTATTTTTTATTTTTATTTATTTATTTTTTTGAGACAGAGTCTTTCCCTGTCGCCCAGGCTGGAGTGCAATGGCGCGATGTCAGCTCACCACAATCTCCACCTCCCGGGTTCAAGCAGTTCTTCTGCCTCAGCCTCCTGAGTAGCTGGGATTACAGGTGCGTGCTACCACGCCTGGCTAATTTTTTGTGTCTTTAGTAGAGACGGGTTTCACCATGTTGGCCAGGCTAGTCTTGAACTCCTGACCTTGTGATCTACCTGCCTTGGCCTCCCAAAGTGTTGGTATTACAGGTGTGAGCTACCACACACAGCCAAATTTTTGTATTTTTTGTAGAGATGGGGTCTGGCTATGTTGCCCAGCCTGGTTTGGCACTTCTGGCCTCAAACAGTCCTCCCACTTTGACATCCCAAAGTGCTGAGATTACAGGTGTGAGCCACCATGCCTGGCCTGTTTATTTAATTTTAAAATTGTGAAAAAGTCATTGATTTTTTTTTCAAGCCATGAATCAACCAAATGTCATATGAAGCTCTTAGTTGTTTTTTTTTTTTTTAACAAAGTAATCTTTATTGTGGTCATAATACATCTTTTCATAGTCATTAGTTTAAATGTGGATACACATTGCTTTTCACAGCTTCAAATTTATGATTTGGAGAGTAAGAGGCAAGTTATATTTCATAAGGATTCAAATCTTTGAAATTACTGCTACTCTTAGATTATTAAGAGTAATTTTCTGATAGAGCAAAAGTACTGCCTTTTAAAAAAACAAATGAAATTGCGGTATAGCACTCTAGGTGTATATATTTTTAGGGTAGAGTTTTTCATCCCAAATTTTATTATGAAACTTTTCAAGTGTGTATAAAAATGGAGAGAACAGTAAACTCTCATATCTACTCATTACCCATCTTGATGATTATCAAGTTGTGGCCATTTTGATTTTAATTATATTCCATCCACTCCCCAATCCACTTGATTGTTTGAAGCAAGTTCCAGTTATAGTATTCATCAGTCAATATTTCAGTATGTATCTAAAGCAGTGACTTAAAAAACTTATAGCTACAGTCCCATCGTCACACCCTAAAAATTAATCATCGCTCCAAAATAACATCAGATATCCCGTCACTATTCAGATGTTACGGATTCTTTCATAACTTTTTTTTACGGTTGATTTGTTTAAATCAAAATCGAAATATGGTCCATACATTGTAATACATTGATATATTTCTGAAATATTTAAAGAATCTACTGTCATCACATTTTTCTCCCTCATAATATATGTGTTGAAGAAAATGGATCATTTTTCCTAAAGAATTTCCCACATTCTGGACTTTGTTGATTGCATTCTTGTGATATCATCTGATTATGCTCCTTTGTGCCCTGTATTTCCTGTAATCTGGTAGTTAGATCTAGAGGCTTGAATGGATTCAGATTCACATTTTTGGCAAGAATAGATGATGGTACAAGCTTTTACACTGAGGCATGTTTTTTTGTCTGGTTGTCTCTGTTTGTGATGTTAGCAGCCATTGATATCATTGCCTAGATTCATTATTGCATTAGCAGTTGCAAATTGGAGACATTATAATTTTTTTTTCTTTTTGTTTTAAGACTGAGTTTCACTCTTGTTGCCCAGGCTGGAGTGCAATGGCGTGGTCTCAGCCCACTGCAACCTCCGCCTCCCGGGTACAAGTGATTCTCCTGCCTCAGCCTCCCGAGTAGCTGGGACTACCCATTAAGTAACTGGTCCTTCCCCATTCATCTCAATCCCTAGTAACCTCTGTCCTACTTTCTGTCTTTATCAATCACCTATTCTAGATATTTTATATATTTGGAATCATAAAGTGTTTGTCCTTTTGTATCTGACTTTTTTATTCATGTAGCATCATGTTTTCAGCATTCATCCATGTTATAGTATGTATCAGAATTTCACTCCTTTTATGGCTGAATAATATTCCATTGCTTATATACACCTCATTTTGTTTATCCATACATCTGTTGATGGATACTTGGGTTGTTTCCACCTTTTGGCTATTGTGAATATTGCTGTAGCCACCAAAATGTTTTCCTCAGCAGCTGCAGTATTTCACATTCCCACCAGTAGCGTACCAGGGTTTCAATTTCGTTACAACCTTGCCAACGCTTGTTTTCTGCTTTTTGTTTTCTTTTTAATAGCCATCCTAGTGGGTGTGAAGTAGTATCTCATTATGGTTTTGATTTGTGTTTCCTAGGAACTATTGATTTTGAGCATCTTTTCACGTGCTTATTGGCCATTTTTATTTCTTCTTTGGAAAAATGTCTATTCACACAAGTCCTTTGCCCATTTTTGCATATCTTTTTTTTTTTTTTTTTAAGAGACAGATTCTTGCTCTGTTGCCCAGGCTGGAGTGTGGTGACATGATCATGGCTCACTGCAGCCTCAAATTCCCTGGCTCAAGTGATCTCCTGCCTCTCAGCCTCCCAAGTAGCTGGGAATACAGGAGTGTGCCACTGTGCCCAGCTTGCCTACCTTTTTTTTTTTTTTTTTTTTGAAACAGAGTCTAGCTTTGTCGCCAGACTGGAGTGCAGTGGTGCAATTTCGGCTCACTGCAACCTCCACCTCCCGGGTTCAGGCCATTCTCCTGCCTCAGCCTCCTGAGTAGCTGGGATTACAGGCATGCACCGCCACGCCCAGCTAATTTTTGTATTTTTAGTAGAGACGGGGTTTCACCTTGCTGTCCAGAATGGTCTCGATCTCCTGACCTTGTGATTCGCCCACCTCGGCCTCCCAAAGTGCTGGGATTACAGGCGTGAGCCATCGCACCCGGCTGCTTGCCTACCATTTTTAAGTTGCCATTTTCTTGATTCAGCATTCCCTTGGTTGCTGTAACCCTTCTTTGACTATTTTCTAGAGTTCTGACAAAGTTGGTTCTAAGAGTTTCTACTTGTCTTTTGATATTTCTGTAGAGGGGACAGGTGCCTGGACCTACCTGTTCTTCCATTTTGCTGATGTCACCCTCAAGAGTTTAATTTTCCTTTTTCTTTTTCTCTCACTCTCTTTCAATAAGGAGTTTAAACATTTTAAATCTTGTATATATAATCCTGTGTCACTTAATGAAGGGCATACATTCTGGAAAGTGTCATTAGGCAGTTTTGTCATTGTGTGAATATCATACAATGTATTTACACAAACCTGATGTTATAGCCAACTATACACACAGGCTGTATGGTGTAGCATATTGCTCCTAGGCTACAAACCTGTACAGCATGTTACTGTACCAAATACTGTAGGCAGTTATGATATAATGGTAACTATTTGCGTATCCAAACATATCTCAACATAGAAAAGACACAGTAAAAATATACTGTTATAATCTTATGGGACCACCATTGTATATGCAGTCCGTCATTGACCAAAATGTTGTTACACAGTGTATTACTGTATTTGGAATGTATTTTGGTTATGATAATGCCACATTACTGTGAGTTTATTAAAGGGTTCATCTCAGGCTGGAGTGCTGCGACGCAGTCTCGGCTTACTTCAACCTCTGCCTCCCAGGTTCAAGTAATTCTCATGCCTCAGCCTCCTGAGTAGTGGAGATTACAGATATGTGCCACTATGCCGAGCTGATTTTTGTATTTTTAGTAGAGATGGGTTTTGCCATGTTGGACAGGCTGGTCTCGAACTCCTGGCCTGAAGTGATCCAACTGCCTCGGCCTCCCAAAGTGCTGGGAGTACAGGCATGAGCCACCATACCTGACCTCATCTTTTTTATTAAAAAAAAAAAAATCTGATCGTATAGACTCACATATTTTTGTTTTATTCAATGGAGCAGAATCCACTAGTATTGTTATTTTTTTAGATGTTCAGTTTACCAGATTTACCGAATGGGAGCCCCTTCAGAGTGCCTTTGGGGTCACTTTTTCTTTTCATTTTTTCTTTTTAATTTATTATTTGTTTCTTTTTTGAGACAGTCTCACTAACTCTGTCACCAGAGTTGGAGTGCAGTGGCGCAGTCTCAGCTCACTGCAAGCTCCGCCTCCAGGGTTGAAGTGATTCTCCTGCCTCAGCCTACCTAGTAGCTGGGATTACTTGCGCCGACCACCATGCCTGGCTAATTTTTGTATTTTTAGTGGAGATGGGGTTTCACCATGTTGGCCAGGCTGGTCTTGAACTCCTGACCTCAGGTGATCCACCCTCCTTGGCCTCCCAAAGTGCTGGGATTACAGACGTGAGCCACCACACCTGGCCCTGTCCTTATCATTCTTTGGGTACCTTTTCTGGGGTAAAAGTTTCCATGTTCATCTTTCTCTGCCCCAGCCCTGAAGTTATCCTTTTCTTGAAGGAGCAATTTAAGAAAAACATTCTCCTTAAACAGTAGAATATTTAGAAACCAACATATAGGCACTTGATGTGCTCATTGCTTCTGGTATGTCATTGCTTCCAGGCCTTCTCAGCAGACCAGTGGTTTGGACTACACCTGTCACTTGGTGTCCCTGGAAGATTGGTTCCAAGACCCCCATAGATACCAAAATCTGCTGATGCTCAAGTCCCTTGCATAAAATAGCATACTATTTGCAGATAACGTATGCACATCCTCCTGTATACTATAAATCACCTTTAAATTACTTATAATACCTGATACTATGTAAATAGTTGTTATGTAATTTTAAAATTTGTATTATTTTTTGTTGTATTGTTTTTCTTATTTTTTTTTCCTTGAATATTTTTGATCCATGATTGGTTGAGCCTGCAGGTGCATAGGGCTGTTGCCCAGGCTGGAGCACAGTGGCATGATGATGACCCTCTGCATCCTTGAACTCCTGGGCTCAAGTTATCCTCCCACCTCAGCACCTCAACTTCCTGAGTAGCTGGAACCACAGAGGTGCACCATAATGCCTGGCTAACTTTTTTTTTCTGAGATGAAGTCTTGTTCTGTTGCCCAGGCTGGAGTGCAGTGGTGTGATTTCAGCACACTGCAACCTCTGCCTCCCAGGTTCAAGTGATTCTCCTGCCTCAGCCTTCTGAATAACTGGGACTACAGGTGCGTACCACCACACTTGGCTAATTTTTATATTTTTTAGAAGAGACAGGGTTTCACCATGTTGACCAGGCTGGTCTTGAACTCCTGACCTCAAGTGATCCACCCATGGCTGGGCACTGTGGCTCACACCTGTAATCCCAGGACTTTGAGAGGCCGAGGCAGGTGGATCACCTGAGGTTGGGAGTTCGAGACCAGCCTGACCAACATGGAGAAACCTCGACTCTACTAAAAATAAAAAATTAGCCGGGTGTGGTGGCGCACGTCCGTAATCCCAGCTACTCGGGAGGCTGAGGCAGGAGAATCTCTGGAACCCGGGAGATGGAGGTTGTGGTGAGCCGAGATTGTGCCATTGCACTCCAGCCTGGGCAACAAGAGCGGTACTCCATCTCAAAAATAAATAAATAAATAAATAATAAATGTGATCCACCCACCTTGGCCTCCCAAAGTGCTGGGATTACAGGCATGAGCCACTGCGCCTAGCCATTTTTTGTAGAGTCAGTCTCACTATTTTACCCAGACTGGTCTTGAATTCCTTGGCTTCAGCAATCCTCCTACCTTTTCCTCCCAAAGTGCTGGAATTACAGGTGTGAGGCACATGCCCAGTTCATTTGTTAAGTCAAATGGTATATTATACTTTTTTTCATAATAAGTTTTAAGAAGTCTTTCTTTTGTCAGATTATCAGACTTAAAATGTATTTTCTATCATTGCTTTATTTTGATGATGAAAATGACAGCTTTGAGTTTGCTCACTTTTTCTTTAGACACTTTTAAGTAATACTTTAGGACTACATGGTAACTTACATATTAAGCTTTTTACTTACTTTCTTTTTACTTACTTTCTTTGTACTTTTACAGTAAGGCGAAAGAGAATGAAAGACGTAGATAACCTCAAAAGTATAAAAGAAGAATGGTAAGTTAATTCAAACTGAATTGCTTTGTTAATGCCTTTGTTAATATCGTCCTGTATTTTTATTACATTTCACTTGCAGAGATAGTAGAGTACGTTTTAATTATGTATGACTACTTCATTGTCATCTACTATGTTGAAGTAATTTTTTTACCATAGCTGCATTAAACAAATTTTATTGAAGTTACTGAATGTTTTTTATTAATTTTAAAAAGTTAAATTATCTGTGTTCATACATTACTTCTGTTATTTGATAAATTAAATAACTATTTACCTCATTAGCCTCTTGTGATAGATACACTATTTTAGTGTCATAGTGGGAATATGGCTTTGGAGTCAGATAAACCTAGGCTTGAATCCCGTCTCTGCCTTCTATTATCTCTCTGGCCTTTGGGCAGCTTAGGTAAATTCTTTGAGCCTCAATATCTCATCTATAAAATAAGGATACAAATACCTACCTATCTGAAAGGTTTTATGTGTGTATCTTTTTTTCTTTTTCTTTTGTTTTTACAGACAGGGTGTCTGTTGCCCAAGCTAGAGTGCAGTGGTGCAATCATAGCTTGTTGGAGCCTTGAATTCCTGGGGACAAGTGATCATCTCTCCTTGGCTTCCTGAGTAGCTGGGACTACAGGCTTACACCACTGCCTCCAGTTAAATTTTTAAATTTTTTTGTAGCAATGAGGTCTCACTATATTGCTCAGAACTCCTGGCTTCAAGTGATCCTCCTGCCACAGCCTCTCAAAATGCTAGGATTATAAGCGTGAGCCACCATGCTTGGCCTATTATTTATTTTTTAACTCAGGTATTTATAGGCTTATATAAATATTTGATGCTAATTATATAATTGTGAGGTTGTTGGCCGGGCACAGTGGCTCACGCCTGTAATCTCAGCACTTTGGGAGGCCGAGGTAGGCGGATCACCTGAGGTCAGGAGTTCGAGACCAGCCTGGACAACATGATGAAATCCCATCTCTACTAAAAATACAAAAATTAGCCAGGTGTGGTGGCAGGTACCAGTAGTCCCAGCTACTCAGGAGGCTGAGGCAGGAGAATTGCTTGAACCTTAGAGGTGGAGGTTTCAGTGAGCCAAGACCGCACCACTGCACTCCAGCCTGGGTGACAGAGCAAGACTCCTCCGTCTCAAAAAATAAATAAAAATAAATAAATAAATGTGAAGTTGTGTCAGAGGTCTCCAAGACCACCCCTAGTTTTGATGATTTACTAGAAGAATTTGTAAGATTTAGAATGTAGTTATACTCATGATTATAATTTATTACAGTGAAGGGTTGCAAAGCAAAATCAGCAAAGGGAAAAAGTACATAGGGAAAACCAGGCACAAGCTTCCAGGGGTCCTCACCCAGTGGAGTCACCCAGGATGTACTTAATTCCCCCAGTAACAAGTTGTGACAAATTCATGTGAAGTATTGTCTACCAGGAAAGCTCATTGGAGATGAGCCTAGAGTTTTTAGTGGGAGCTAGTTACATCCTAAAATTTCAGGCTATCATAAGGAAAGCAGGAGTTCAATATAAATCACATTGTTTATATAAACTGTACATTGAGCCATCCTTATAAATTTAGGGTGATGGGAACCTTCTAGAAATCCAAGTTTGCAGGTGCGGCCGGGCGCAGTGCCTCATGCCTGTAATCCCAGCACTTTGGAAGGCCGAGGCGGGTGGATCACGAAGTCAGGAGATCGAGACCATCCTGGCTAACACGGTGAAACCCCGTCTCTACTAAAAATACAAAAAAAAAATTAACTGGGCATGGTGGCGGGTGCCTGTAGTCCCAGCTACTCGGGAGGCCGAGGCAGGAGAATGGCGTGAACCCAGGAGGTGGAGCTTGCAGTGAGTCGAGATCGCGCCACTGCACTCCAGCCTGGGCGACAGAGTGAGACTCTGTCTCAAAAAAAAACAAAAAAACAGAAATCCAAGTTTGCAGATGCCAGCCCAGGACCAGCCTTGTAAGCAAGTCTTTCAAAAGATAGCAATCAGATCTGCTATATTAACTCATTTCTGCGCAGTAATAAATTGAATGACTGATTTGAAATGGTAAAATTAACTTAGAACAGGCCTGTTTTAAAATGGCTTTATTGAAATATAATTCACATACCATATAATTCATTCACTTAAAATATATAGTTCAGTAGTTTTTAGTACATTCACAGATTTTTGCAGTCATTAACATAGTCAATTTTCGCGCATTTATATTACCCCAAAGAGAAACCCCATATCCATTAGCAATCCCACCCATTGTCCTATGCCTTGCCCCTGACAACCATGAAACTGCTTTCTTTTTTTGAGACGGAATCTCACTCTGTTGCCCAGGCTGGAGTGCAACGGCGTGATCTTGGCTCACTGCAACCTCCACCTCCCAGGTTCAAGCAATTCCCCTGCCTCAGCCTCCCGAGTGGCTGAGATTACAGGCACGCACCACCATGCTCAGCTAAGTTTTTTGTATTTTTAGTGCAGATGGGGTTTCACCATATTGGCCAGTCTGGTCTCAAACTCCTAACCTCAGGTGATCTGCCCGCCTTGGCCTCCCAGAGTTCTGGGATTACAGGTGTGAGCCACCATGCCTGGCCGTCTGCTTTCTATTTCTACAGATTTACCTGTTCTGGACATTTCATATAAATGCAGTTATACAATATGTGGTCTTTTGTGACTGACTGCTTTCACTTAGCATAATGTTTTCAAGGTTCACCTATGTTGTAGAGCATGTATCAGTATGTACTTTGAATTTTTTTTGTTTTTGTTTTTTTTGAGACGGAGTTTTGCTCTTGTCACCCAGGCTGGGGTGCAGTGGTACAATCTTGGCTCACTGCAACCTCTGCCTCCCAGGTTCAAGTAATTCTCCTGCCTCAGCCTCCCAAGTAGCTGGGACTACAGGTGTGTGCCACCACGCCTGGCTAATTTTTGTATTTTTAGTAGAGATGGGGTTTCACCATGTTGTCCAGGCTGATCTCGAACTCCTGACCTCAGGTGATCCGCCCACCTCGGCCTCCCAAAGTGCTAGGATTACAGACGTGAGCCACCGTGCCTGGCCTGTACTTTGAATTTTAAGTAAAATATTTGGTAAAGTACACAAAAATATTGGTGATAGTTTATAATTTTCTTTGTAACAAAAGTGGATTTGTAAAAATGTTTTGTTAAAAACAATGGTCCAGGGAAAAATGCAAAGAAAACTGCCTTTTTTTTTTTTTTTTTTTTTTTTGGTGAGATGAAGTCTTGCTCTGTCACCAGGCTGGAGCGCAATGGCATGATCTCGGCTCATTGCAACCTCCGCCTCCCAGGTTCAAGTGATTCTCCTGCCTCAGCCTCCCGAGTAGCTGGGACTGTAGGTGCACACCACCACGCCCAGCTAATTTTTGTATTTTTAGTAGAGATGGGGTTTCACCATGTTGGCCAGGATGGTCTCTATCTCTTGACGTCATGATCTGCCTGCCTCGGACTCCCATAGTGCTGGGATTACAGGTGTGAACCACCGCACCCGGCCTTTTTTTTTTATTTTTTGAGACAGAGTCTTGCTCTGTCACCCAGGCTGGAGTGCAGTGGCGTGATCTCAGCTCACTGCAACCTCCGCCTCCCAGGTTCAAGCAATTCTCCTGCCTCAGCCTCCCGAGTAGTTGGGAGTACAGGTGCCCACCACCATGCCTGGCTAATTTTTGTACTTTTAGTAGAGATGGGGTTTCACCATGTTGTCCAGGCTGGTCTTGAACTCCTGACCTCAGGCAATCTGCCCACCTCAGCCTCCCAAAAGTGCTAGGATTACAGGCATGAGCCACCGCGCCCAGCCAAAAACTGCTTTTCTAAGTGTATCAGTTGTTCAAAGGTTATAAATGGTGAAGTTCTATGTTTACCATATGTGCTATCTAAGCGTCCACAGATGCAAATCTTTCACCCATATGAACAACAGCTAATTCATAACCTTATTTATGCAGAACACAGTAGACAATGAGAAAGCAAACAAAAGAGGCTGTTCTGCTGCCCAAATAGTTGTTTCAGAGTCCCTTACCTGAAGCAAAGGAAACAACAGAATGAAAAGGCAGCCTATGGAATGGGAAAAAAATATTTGGAAACAATATATTTTATAAGGGATTAGTTACCAAAATATATATCAGATACTCCTACAACTCAGTAGCAAAAAACTAATAATCATAGCAACTGTATTAGTCCATTTTCATGCTGCTGATAAAGACATACCCGAGACTGGGCAATTTACAAAAGTAAGAGGTTTTTTTTTCCTTTTTTTATTCTTTTTTTTTTTTTTTTTGAGACGGAGTTTCGCTCTTGTTGCCCAGGCTGGAGTGCAATGATGCAGTCTCGGCTCATGGCAGCCTCAGCCTCCTGGGTTCAAGCCATTCTCCTGCCTCAGCCTCCCTAGTAGCTGGAATTACAGGCATGTGCAACCACACCTGGCTAGTTTTGTATTTTTTAGTAGAGACAGGGTTTCTCCATGTTGGTCAGGCAGGCTGGTCTCCAACTCCCGACCTCAGGTGATCCACCCGCCTTGGCATCCCAAAGTGCTGGGATTACAGGCATGAGCCACCGCGTCCGGCAAGGAAGAGGTTTAATTGGACTTACAGTTCCGCATGGCTGGGGAAGCCTCACAATCATGGCAGAAGGCAAGGAAGAGCAAGTTACATCTTAACATGGATGGCAGCAGGCAAAGAGAGAGAGTTTGTGCAGGGGAACTCCTCTTTTTAAAACTATCACGTCTCGTGAGACTTATTTATTATCATGAGAACAGCATGGGAAAGACTTGCTCCCATGATTCAATTACCTCCCACCAGGTCCCTCCCACAACACATGGGAATTCAGGATGAGATTTGGGTGGGGACACAGCCAAACCGTATCAATAACCCAATTAAAAAATGGAAGAAAACGCCGGGCGCAGTGGCTCACACCCATAATCCCAGCACTTTGGGAGGCTGAGGCGGGCGGATCACGAGGTCAGAAGTTCGAGACCAGCCTGACCAACATGGTGAAACCCTGTCTCTACTAAAAATACAAAAAGTAGCCAGGCGTGGTGGCACACACTTGTAATCCCAACTACTCGGGGGGCTGAGGCAAGATTGCACCACTGCACTCCAGCCTGAGTGAAAGAGTGAGACAGTGTCTCAAAAAAAAAAAAAAAGAGAAAAGTGGAAAAAAAGTCTGAATAGACATTTCTCCGAATAAGGCATACAACAGGTATATGTTCAGTGTCACTAGTAATCATCAGGGAAATGCAAATCAAAATAAGAGTAATCACCTCACACCTGTCAGGATGGCTGTTGTCAAAAAACAAAAGAGCTAGTCCTGGTGAGGATATGGAGAAAAGAGAACCCTTGAACACTGTTGATGGGGATGCAAAATGGTGTAGCTACTATGGAAAACAGTATGGCGATTCCTCAAAAAATTAAAAATAGAATTGCCACAGAATGGATTGCTGAATAGATCCAGCAATCCCACCTCTGGATATTATCCAAAGGAATTGGAATCAGAATCTTGAAGAGACTGGGTGCCGTGGCTCACATCTGTAATGCCAACATTTTGGGAACCCAAGGCAGGAGGATCCCTTGAGGGAAGGAGTTTGAAACCAGCCTTGTTGACATAGTGAGAACTCATCTCTACAAAAGAAAAATTGAAAAACTAGCCAGCTTGGTGACACATACCTGTAGACCCAGCTACTGAGGAGGCTGAGACAGGAGGATCGTTTGAGCCTAGGAGTTCTAGGCTGCAGTGAACCATGATCGTGTCACTGCGCTTCTCCATTCTGGGTGACAGAGCCAGATCCTGTCTCAAAAAAAAAAAAAAAATCTCGAAAAGAGATGAATGGGTAAAGAATATATAATACATACCCAAAATGGAATATTATCCAATCCTTTTTTTTTTTGAGACAGAGTTTCGCTCTTCTTGCCCAGGCTGGAGTGCAATGGCACAATCTCGGCTCACCACAACCTCTGCCTCCCAGGTTCAAGTGATTCTCCTGCCTCAGCCTCCTGAGTAGCTGGCATTACAATCGTGTGCCACCACACCCGGCTAATTTTGTATTTTTAGTAGGGACAGGGTTTCACCATGTTGGTCAGGCTGGTCTCAAACTCCTGACCTCAAGTGATCCGCCTGCCTCGACCTCCCAAAGTACTGGGATTACAGGCGTGAGCCACCACGCTCGGCTATTCAGTCTTGAGAAAGAAGGAAATTCTGCAGTATGCAACAACATAGATGAACCTTGAGGATATAATGGTGGTTGCCAGGGGCTAGGGGAAAGTGAAAATGAGGAGTTGCTAATCAGTGGGCATAAGGTTTCAGTTAAGCAAGATGAATAGGTCCTAGAGATATGCTGAACAACATAGTACCTATAGTTAACCACACTTTATTGTTCACTTAAAAATATGTTAAGAGGTTAGGTCTCATTTTAAGTGTTCTTACCATGATAAAATAAAAAAAACTTTTTAGAAAATCCCTCACCTGAAGCTTCTGTACTTTTATTATTATAGGAACTCCTGACATTTTAAGATGTGTTTACTGGCTGAGCGCAGTGGCTCACGTCTGTAATCCTAGCACTGTGGGAGGCCAAAGCAGGCACATTTCTTGACCCCAGGAGTTCAAGACTGGCCTGGGGCATATGGTAAACCCTCATGCCTACAAAATACAAAAATTAGCTATTGGAGAGGCTGGAACTATAGGCATGTGCCACCATACCTGGCTAATTTTTCGTATTTTTTTTATAGAGATGGGGTCTCCCTATGTTGCCCAGGCTGGTCTCAAACTCCTGGGCTCAAGGGGTCCTCCCACCTCCGCCTCCTAAAGTGCTGGGATAATAGGCATGAGCCACTGCACCTGGCCTCCTTTCCAACCTGTATACATTTTACTTCCTTTCCTTATCTTACTGGATTAGCTCGGACTTCCAGTACAACACTGATGAGGAATGGTGAGACGCAGCATCCTTGTCTTGTTCCTGATCTTAGTGGGAAAGCATCTAGTTTCTCCTGATTAAATATGATGTTAGATGTAGGCTTTTGCAGACATTGTTTACCAAGTTGAGAAAGTTCCCTTTCTCTTCCTAGTTGGTGGGGGTTTTATTATGAATGGTTGTTAGATATTGTCTAATGCTTTTTCTGCATATGTTGATATGATTATATTATTTTTCTTCTTTAGGCTAATGATGTGATAGATTACATGAATTAATTTTCAGTGTTAAACCACTGCAGCCTCGCATACCTAGGATAAATCCTACACGGTTGTGGTGTTTACTTTTTTATATACATTGTTGTATTCTGTTTGCTAATATTTTGTTGAGTATTTTTGCATATATGTTCATGATAAATTTTCTGTAGCTTTCCTTTCTTGTAATGTCTTTGGTTTTAGTATTAGCATAGTGTTATCCTCGTAGAATGAGTTAGAAGTATTCCCTCTGCTTCTATTTTCTGGAAGAGATTATAGAGAATTGGCATCATTTCTTTCTTAAATGTTTGGTAGCATTCATCAGTGACATCATCCAGACCTGGTGCTTCTGTTTCGGAAGGTTATATATTATTGATTTAATTCCCTTAGTATGCATAAGCCTATTCATATTATCTGTTCCTTCTTGTGTGTGTTTTGATAGAGGGTGCCTTATAATAAATTGGTTCATTTCATCTAAGTTATCAATTTTAGGGGCATAAAGCAGTTCTTAATGCCTTTGCTACTCTTTTTTCCTGTGCCTATACACTCATCAAAAGTGAAACAAACCCATTACCACCTGTTCAATGGAGCCAGAGTGCCCCAGTTTTCTGAACTGTACCTTATATCTCTTATTGTAGTTATTTTCTTTTTTTTTTTTAAAGACAGAATCTCTCTTTGTCGCCAGGCTGGAGTGCAGTGCCGCGATCTTGACTCACTGCAACCTCCGCCTCCCAGGTTCAAGCATTTCTCCTGCCTCAGCTTCCCAAGTAGCTGGGACTACAGGCACATGCCACCACTCCAGCTAATTTTTGTATTTTTAGTAGAGACGGGGTTTCACCGTGTTGGCCAGATGGTCTTGATCTCTTGACCTCGTGATCCGCCCACCTTGGCCTCCCAAAGTGCTAGGATTACAGGCGTGAGCCACCGCACCTGGCCTGGTAGATATTTTCTTTTTTTCTTTTTTTTTTTTTTGAGACAGAGTCTCGCTCTGTTGCCCAGGCTGGAGTGCGGTGGCGTGATCTCAGCTCACTGCAAGCTCTGCCTCCCAGGTTCACGCCATTCTTCTGCCTCAGCCTCCCGAGTAGCTGGGACTACAGGCGCCCGCCACCACACCTGGCTAATTTTTGTATTTTTAGTAGAGACGGGGTTTCACCGTGTTAGCCAGGATGGTCTCGATCTCCTGACCTTGTGATCCGCCCACCTTGGCCTCCCAAAGTGCTAGGATTACAGGCGTGAGCCACCGCGCCCGGCCTTTTTTTTTTTTTTTTTTTTTTAATGTTTTTGTTTTTGTTTTGAGATAGGGTCTTACTCTGTTGCCCAGGCCTGGAGTACATTGACATGATCTCAGTTCACTGCAACCTTGGCCTCCTGAGCTCAGCCTCCCAAGTAGCTGGGGCTACAGGTGTGCACCACCACGCCCAGCTTATTCTTTTCTTTTTTTATAGAGATGGGATTTCGCCATGTTGCCCAGGCTGGTCTCCAATCCTGGGCTCAAGCAGTTCTCCTACCTTGGCCTCCCAAAATGCTGGGATTACAGGCATGAGCCATTGTGCCTGGCTGTATTTTCTATTGTAACTATTTCCTACGATACATCTCTACTCTACTCTACTCTTACTATACATTTCCACTCCACTCCACTCCACTCTACCCTGAACCTCTTATAAACATAGACCGTTTCTTACTCGTCTTCATATCTCCCTGCCACCTAGCATGTAGTAGATACTCAATAAATATTTGAGTAATTTGAATGCACATGATGAAGTTTAATAGAATTTACACATTAAATAAATAACATGAAGGAATGAAATTTCAGCTACTCTGGATGCTCAGCTTTATTGGCTTTGTATTTAGTAATTACTAATGGAGCACTAACTACCATCTGAACAGAAGAAACAGTTAAATACCAGAAAGCATAAAATGGTTATAATGATATTACTAATATTTGAGAGTGTACTGTGTGCCAGTATGTATACTGATACTTACTATATACCATGTTTAGGCTTTTATATATATTTTCATTTAATCTTCACAACAACCATGTGAAATGAGTGGTGGTATCTGTATTTCACAGATAAGCAAAGCAAATCACATAGAAGTTAAGTTTATTGTCCATTGTCAGTGTGACTAAATGAAGGCACTTAAATACAAACAGCAACACCCAGACTTTTAGACAATATGCTATACTGCTATGTGACTATGCTGATTAAAGGAAGGGGAAAATCACTAGTGTTATAAGAAACCATCTTAGGGTGTAACTATTTCTGTGTAAGAGGTATCATGTCATTGCTTTGGAAAAGGCATAATACTTTGTGATGATATGGAGTATTTTAAGAGTATATACGAGAGGACTACCTAGGGAAGGAAAAAAATGTATACCTAAGTTAAAGCACTGCCCTGAGTATCGGCATTTTAGTAACAATATAGTGATGGCCTTTTTTTTTTTTAAGAGATGAGGTCTCACTATGTTGCCCAGGCTAAAATGCAGTAGTTAGTCACGGCATTCTAGTGGGCTCAGTCACAGCACACTACAGCCTCAAACTCCTGGCCTCAAGTCACTCCTCAAGTGACTACAGACGTGCACCACCACGCCAAGGCTCAGTGATAGCTATTCTCCATGACAGTCTAGCATAGTGATTAAGAGCAGAGACATTGGTAGCTTGAGTTCAGTTCCTAGCACTGCCTCCTAGTAGCTTTGTGGTCTCTGGCAAATTTCTTAAGCTTTTTCTTCATCTATTAAATGGGGATAAAAATAATACCTACCTTTAGGGTCATTGTGAGGATTTGAATGAGTTGGCACATGTAAGGTACTTAGAATAGTTCTTTATAAGATGTCATGGTTAGGATCACAGACTTGGGAGACAGAGTGGCAGCATGGTTAGTTAACAGTATCTAACTTTGCCGGGCGTGGTGGCTCACGCCTGTAATCCCAGCACTTCGGGAGGCTGAGGCAGGCGGATCACGAGGTCAGATCGAGATAATCCTGGCTAACATGGTGAAACCCTGTCTCTACTGAAAATACAAAAAATTAGCCAGGTGTGGTGGCGGGTGCCTGTAGTCCCAACTACTCCAGAGGCTGAGGCAGGAGAATGGCATGAACCCAGGAGGTGGAGCTTGCAGTGAGCCGAGATTGCGCCACTGCAGTCCAGCCTGGGGGACAGAGTGAGACTCCGTCTCAGGAAAAAAAAAAAAAACAGTATCTAACTTATATTTCCTGGCACAGTATAAGAGGTATAAA
Source organism: Homo sapiens (assembly GCF_000001405.40). NCBI lineage: Eukaryota > Metazoa > Chordata > Mammalia > Primates > Hominidae > Homo > Homo sapiens. The sequence continues at coordinate 23,968,734 of NC_000002.12, forward strand.
AGTATGATTTATAATACTTTATAAAAGTATTATTTATAGAATTTGAGAAATCGTATTTCTGTACTTTTATAAATTTTCCTGCATGATTTCAAAAGAGAACAACCAGAAACCATCTTTTCCTGGCAAACAGAATCTTAGATAATATTTCTTTTTCTTTTTTCTTTTTTTTTTTTTTTTTGAGACAGAGTCTCTCTCTGTCGCCAGGCTGGAGTGCAGTGGCATGATCTCGGCTCACTGCAACCTCCGCCTCCCAGGTTCAAGCGATTCTTCTGCCTCAGCCTCCTGAGTAGCTGGGACTACAGGTACGCACCACCACGCCTAGCTAATTTTTATATTTTTAGTAGAGACGAGGTTTCATCATGTTGTCCAGAATGGTCTTGATCTCTTGACCCCGTGATCCGCCTGCCTCAGCCTCCCAAAGTGCTGGGATTACAGGCATGAGCTACCTCACCCAGCTGATATTTCTTCTATAAAGAAATAAAAATACAAAATAAAAACCAGTAAAGTATTAAACTACTATAGGCTGGATACAGTGGCTCACACCTGTAATGCCAGTACTTTGGGAAACAGACACGGGAGGATTGCTTGAGCCCAGGAGTTTGCGATAAGCCTGGACAGCATAGTGAGACCCTTTTTCTCCAAAACATTTATTTATGTATTTGCTCTGTTGCCAGGCTGGAGTGCAGTGGTGCAATCTCGGCTCACTGTGACCTCCACCTCCCAGGTTCAAGTGATTCTCCTGCCTCAGCCTCCTGAGTAGCTGGGAGTACAGGAGCGTACCATCATGCCCAGCTAATTTTTGTATTTTTTGTAGAGACAGGGTTTCACCACGTTGGCCAGAATGGTCTCAATCTCTTGACTTCATGATCCTCCCGCCTTGGCCTCTCAAAGTGCTGGGATTACAGGCATGAGCCACTGTTCCCAGCCTCTCCAAAACATTTTTAAAATTCAGCCAGCTGTGGCAATGTGTGCCTGTAGAACCAGCTACTTGGGGGAGAATCACTTGAGTCCAGGAGGTTGAGGCAGCAGTGAGCTGTGATCATGCAACTGCACTTCATCCTGGGTGACAGAATGAGACTCTGTCTCAAAAATAAATAAATAAATCACTATAAATAATGTTTTCAGTGGGAAATATTCTGAAGTGTGCAAAGGAACAAAAATGCAATTGTTCCTGATGCATTATCCCCTTTAGTTCAAAAGTGTTTTCTGTTACCAAAAAAACGCATAGTAATCCCTTTTAAAGTCATTTTGAGCCCTTTAAAAATAACACATTTTTGGCCAGGAGCAATGGCTCACACCCGTAGTCCCAGCACTTTGGGTGGCCAAGACAGGCACATCACTGGAGCCCAGGAGTTTGAAACCAGCCTGGGCAACACAGTGAAATCCCATCTCTACAAAAAATTAGCTGGACATGGTGGTTGGAGCCTGTAGTCCCAGCTACTTGGGGGTCTGAAGTGGGAAGATTGGTTGAGCCCTGGAGGTTGAGACTGTAGTGAGCTGAAATTGCGCCACTCCACTCCAGCCTGCACGACAGAGAGGGACCTTGTCTCAAGAAAACCTCAAAAAACAGAACAAAAACACCACACATTTTCTACTCCAGACCAGTGGTTTTTAACCTAGAGAGATTTTTGCCCCTAGATGCATTTGGCAATGTGAAGAGATGTTTTTGGTTGTTATAACACTGGGGATTGGGGATGGGGCAGGGATGTGCATCCTACTTGTTGTATCTCATGGGTAAAGGCCAAGGATACTGTTTAACATTCTGCAACAGTGATCCCCAACTTTTTTGGCACCAGGGACTGGTTTTGTGGAAGACAGTTTTTCCACGGACCTGTCAGGAGAGAAGGGGAGAAGGGGAGATGGTTTTGGGATGATTCAAGCACATTACATTTATTTGCACTTTATTTCTATTATTATTACATTGTAGTGTATAATGAAATAATTATACATCTCACCATAATGTAGAATCAGTGGGAATCCTAAGCTTGTTTTCCTGCAACTAGATGGTCCCATTTGGGGGCAATGGGAAACAGCGACAGATCATGAGGCATTAGAGTCTCATAAGGAGCCTGCAACCTATATCCCTTGGATGCTCAGTTCACAGGTTCATGCTCCTATGGGAATCTAATGCCACCACTGATCTGACAGGAGACAGAGCTCAGGTGGTAATGTGAGCGATGGGAGCAACAGTAAATACAGATGAAGCTTTGCTTGTTCGCCTGTCACTCACCACCTGCTGTGCAACCTGGTTTCTGACAGGCCATGGGCTTAGGGGTTGGGGATCCCAATCTCCAGTGCACAGGACACCTCATACAGCAAAGCATTATTCATTTCTAAATGTTAGTAGAGCTGAGGTTGAGAAAACCATGCTCTGGACTAAAAAGGGGTTAATGACTTCCCCAAGGTTATATTAACTTAGGAGAGGGCCTGAACTACAGACATGCACGTAGCATCTAAGTTCAATATCCTTAACTAGAACAAAATAAGTAAATTTTTAGAGACCTAATAGTTAATAGTGCCTGTTTTTCTTTATCTTGTTTAGGGTTTGTGAAACAGGATCTGATAATCAACCTCTTGGTAATAATCAACAATCAAATTGTGAATATTTTGTTGATAGCCTTTTTGAGGAAGCTCAGAAGGTTAGTTCCAAATGTGTGTCTCCCGCTGAACAGAAGAAACAGGTAAATAAATGTCTATTACTTTTCTTTTTCTTTCAGTGTTTCTCAATATATGGACCTGTTAGAGGGTCCCTAAGGTCAAAATTGTTTTGTTTGAGACAAGGTCTTTCTCTGTCACCCAGACTGGAGTGCAGTGGCTCGATCTTAGCCCACTGCAACCTCAACCTCCTGGGTTCAAGCAGTCCTCCTGCCTCAGCATTCGCAGGTAGCCCGGACCTCAGCACACACCACCATGCCCAGCTAATTTTTTTATTCTTTTGTAGAGACGGGGTCTTGCTTTGTTGCCCAGGCTGGTCTCAAATTCCTGGGCTCAAGTAGTTCTCCTGCCTTGGTTTCCCAAAGTGCTGGGATTATAGGTGTGAGGCCAAAACTGTTTTCATAATAGATATTGTTTCCCTTTTTCACTATGTTCACAAGCTAGGCACACCTATAATCCCAGCACTTTAGGAGACTGAGGCAGGAGGATCACTTGAGCCTAGGAGTTAAAAACCAGTCTGGGCAATAAAGCAAGACCCATCTCTACAAAAGAATAAAAAAATTAACTGGGCGTGGTGCCATGTGCCTGTAGTCCCAGCTTCTTGGGAGGCTGAGTTGGGAGGATTGCTTGAGCTCAGGAGTTTGAGGCTGCAGTGAGCCATGACCGCACCACTGCACTCCAGCCTGGGTGACAGAGTGAGACCCTGACTGATAAGGTAAGGGTAAGGTAAGGTAAAAAAATAACTGTGTTCACTTTGCACTGATATTGCAAAAGTAGTGGTGGGTAAAACTGCAACACCTTAGCAGGAATCAAGGCAGTGGCAACAAACTGTGCTAGCAGTTACTGGTTGAACATCCCAAATCCACTGAATCCAAAAATCCAAAATGCTTCAAAATCCAACATGTTTTCAGTGCTGACATGATGCTCAAAGGGATGCTTATTGGGGGCATTTCAGATTTTGAGTCTTGAATTTGGAAAGCTCAACCAGCAAATATTTCAGAATCTGAAATTCAAAACCCTCTGGTCGCAAGCATTTCAGATAAGGGATATTCAACCTGTACTTTATTCTTTGCGTATACTTCCAAGGGGAAAAAAAAACTAATTTTAATTAAGAATGTCCTTGATGCAGTAGAATTTATAAATTTTGTTTCTTGACCGGGCGCGGTGGCTCATGCCTGTAATCCCAGCACTTTGGGAGGCTGAGGCGGGTGGATCACGAGGTCAGGAGTTCAAGATCAGCCTGATCAACATGGTGAAACCCTGTCTCTACTAAAAATACAAAAAGTAGCCGGGTGTGGTGGTGCGTGCCTGTAATCCCAGCTACTCAGGAGGCCGAGGCAGGAGAATCGCGTGAACCTGGGAGGCGGAGGTTGCAGTGAGTTGAGATTGCGCCACTGCACTCCAGCCTGGGCGACAGAGCTAGACTTGGTCTCAAAATAAATAAATAAATTAATTAATTAATTTTATATCTCAAACCTTGAATACACATGGTAATATTCTGTGTGACAAAATGTGAAGTATACATAAAGTATTTCTACAATATACAGAAGTGTCTCAAGGAAAGGTGCAGTTATTTGAGATCAATAAACTGTCTGCTTTTTCATGGCATATTGTTTCTGCAAGAAAGAATGGTTTACATACAGACTATGGATATTCCAACTCACTCTGTCACCCAGGCTGGAGTGCAATGGCACGATCTCAGCTCACTGCAAGCTCTGTCTCCCAGGTTCAAGCCATTCTCCTGCCTCAGCCTCCCTAATAGCTGGGATTACAGGTGCGCACCACCATGCCTAGCTAATTTTTTGTATTTTTAGTAGAGACAGGGTTTCATCATGTTGGTCAGGCTGGTCTCGAACTCCTGACCTTGTGATCTGCCCACCTCAGCCTCCCAAAGTTCTGGGATTACAAGCGTGAGCCACCGCACCTGGCCTGGTAGATATTTTCTTTTTTTCTTTTTTTTTTTTCTCTGAGACAGAGTCTCGCTGTGTCGCCCAGGCTGGAGTGCAGTGGTGCGATCTCTGCTCACTGTAAGCTCCGCCTCCCAGGTTCATGCCATTCTCCTGCCTCAGCCTCCCGAGTAGCCCGGACTACAAGCGCCCGCCACCACACCTGGCTAATTTTTTGTATTTTTAGTAGAGACAGGGTTTCACAGTGTTAGCCAGGATGGTTTCAATCTCCTGACCTCGTGATCTGCCCGCCTCAGCCTCCCAAAGAGTACTTGGATTACAGGCGTGAGCCACTGTGTCCAGCCTTTTTTTTTTTTTGAGATGGAGTCTTGCTCTGTCACTCAGGCTGGAGTGCAGTGGCACAATTGGCTCACTGCAACCTCTGCCTTCTGGATTCAAGCCATTCTCCTGCCTCAGCCTCCCCAGTAGCTGGGATTACAGGCATGCACCACCACGCCTAGCTAATTTTTGCATTTTAGTTGAGACGGGGTTTCACCATGTTGGACAGGCTGGTCTCAAACTCCTGACCTGGTGATCCACCCACCTCAGCCTCCCAAAGTGCTGGGATTACAGGCATGAGCCACCGTGCCCGGCCCTGCCTGGTAGATATTTTCTAATAATGAATGAAGTGAGCCTGGCACTTCAAGGAAAACAACTTATAGTAGCTGTTGAAAATGATTAATTTTTTTTTTTTTTTTGAGACGGAGTCTCGCTCTGTCGCCCAGGCTGGAGTGCAGTGGTGCGATCTCGGCTCACTGCAAGCTCCGCCTCCTGGGTTCATGCCATTCTCCTGCCTCAGCCTCCTGAGTAGTTGGGACTACAGGTGACCACCACCACACCTGGCTAATTTTTTTTTGTATTTTTAGTGGAGACGGAGTTTCACCCTGTTAGTCAGGATGGTCTTGATCTCCTGACCTCGTGATCCGCCCGCCTCAGCCTCCCAAAGTGCTAGGATTACAGACTTGAGCCACCGTGCCTGGCCAAAAAATGATAAATTTTTATTTAACCAACTTTTTTTTTTTTTATTTTGAGACGGACTCTCGCTCTGTCGCCCAGGCTGGAGTGCAGTGGCGTGATCTCGGCTCACTGCAAGCTCCGCCTCCCGGGTTCACACCATTCTCCTGCCTCAGCCTCCTGAGTAGCTGGGACTACAGGCACCCGCCACCACGCCTGGCTAATTTTTTTGTATTTTTAGTAGAGACAGGATTTCACCATGTTAGCCAGGATGGTCTCGATCTCTTGACCTCATGATCCGCCTGCCTCGGCCTCCCAAAGTGCTGGGATTACAGACGCGAGCCACCGCGCCTGGCCTTAACCAACTTTTTAAGTGAAAATAAGACTTTTAGAAAATTGCCACTATAGGCTGGGCTTGGTGGCTTACGCCTGTAATCTCATAGCTTTGGGAGGCCAAGGTGGGTGAATCACTTGAGGCCAGGAGTTCAAGACCAGCCTGGCTAACGTGCTGAAACTCTTTCTCTACTAAAAAATACAAAAATTAGCTGAGCTTGGTGATGCACGCCTGTAATCTCAGCTACTCAGGAGGTTAAGGCATGAGAATCACTTGAACCAGGGAGGCGGAGCTCGCAGTGAACCAAGATCGTGCCACTGCACTCTAGCCTGGGTAACACAGCAAGACTGTCTCAAAAAAAAAAAAAGAAAAGAAAAAGAAAGCAACCATACCTTGACAGCTTCTCAAAACTTAAGGAATTTCCTAGTGAGATTAGTGTCATTTTGATAAATATAAATTTTTTTATATAATTAAATGTGTCAGCAGTTGGAAGATCTGCATAATCAAGAAAACCAGTATTTTCCAAATGAGCAATATATGATGTTATACAGTGATGCATGAGTAAAAGAGCCAAAGAATCACATATACTAAAAGACTTTAACGTAACAAGTATATGAAAAGATGGTTGGTAAGTTTCAGATTCCACATTCAGATTCTCAACTAACTTTTGAGATACTACTACTACTTATTACATTTTGAAGAAGTGTCAAAGAAGATTATCCTGGGAAGGCTATTAAAATACTTCTTTTTCTAACTACATAACTGTATGAGGTTTGGTTATTAAAAAAAACATTTCAATCAAAATAACATGTCAAAGCAGACTGAGAGCGGTACCAATTATGAGACCCCAGCTGATTTTTTGACGTGAGACATTTTAAAAAGTGTTTGTGAAAAATCCTTTCACTCTGATTCGCTTTTTAAATTAAAACTTAATCTATTAGTTGTGAAAGGCTTATGTTGAAAAAAGGCTTATGTTAAAAAGCAGACTTATTACTCCTTGACCCTAGCATCTACTTTCTTTTTTCGTTTTTTTAAGATGGCGTTTCACTACTGTTGCCCAGGCTGGAGTGCAGTGGTGCGATCTCATCTCCCCACAGCTTCCACCTCCTGGGTTCAAGCGATTCTCCTACCTCAGCCTGGGATTACAGGCATGCACCACCATGCCTGGCTAATTTGTATTTTTAGTAGAGACGGGGTTTCTCCATGTTGGTCAGGCTGGTCTTGAACTCCTGACCTCAGGTGATCCACCTGCCTTGGCCTCCCAAAGTGCTGGGATTACAGGCGTGAGCCACCACATCTGGCCACATCTACTTTCCAGAGGCAACAGCTTATAACTCTTAGATATTTCTACTGACATGAGCTTTCTGTTTCTGATAATATGCTAATAGTGATAGTTATTGATTTTTCAGATTTTTGAATTATGTATTCACTTCGTATTATACATAATAAGGATTTAGCTCTTTTTCTACCTTCCCCCTCTCCTCAGATCACCTCTTCCCATTCTTCTAACATAGTTGTGTCACAATTGGGGATTAAATCAATTGTTATTTATATCTGTAAAAGTGTAAATACTGTACAGCATAAGCGGGAGCTACCGCGCCTGGCCCACCAGTTAAAATTTTTCTAAGGGAAGATTGCGGTGAAACCCTTCTTCCTTCAGTGGATTGGTTGTCGACTAGGGGAGCTCTACTGCTCTTGCTCTGGAATCTATGATCCTGAGTATTCTCTCTCCTGATTACTCAATTCTGTGCCTCGCCCAACATCGCTTCCCCCTTATATTTTAATGTTTATGAAGCCAGTTGTAGTAGTCCATTTTTACGCTGCTGATAAAGACATACCCGAGACTGGGAAGAAAGGAAATTTAATTTGACTTAGTTCCACATGGCTGGGGAGGTCTCATAATCATGGCATCAGCAGGAGAAAATGAGCAAGAAGCAAAAGTGGAAACTCCTGATAAACCCACCAGATCTCGTGAGACTTATTCACTATCACAAGAATTGCATGGGAAACACGGGCCCCCGTGATTCAATTACCTCCCCCTTGGTCCCTCCCACAACACACGGGAATTCTGGGAGATACAATTCAACTTGAGATTTTGGTGAGGACACAGCCAAACCATATCAATGATTTTGATTTTTTGTGGAAACTGGGTCTCGCTATGTTGCCAGGGCTGGTCTCCAACTCCTAGGCTCAAGTAGTCCTCCTGTCTTGGCCTCCCGAAGTGCTGGGATTACAGGAGTGAACCACCCCACCCGGCCTGAATAGTGATAGAAGAAATTTTCAAAGGACTTTCAATCCTACTACATTTTATTAACATGACGCATTTTGTTTCCTACTGTTTTGCAGGTAGATGTAAATATAAAATTATGGAAAAACGGATTCACCGTCAACGACGATTTCAGAAGTTATTCCGATGGTGCCAGTCAGCAGTTTTTGAACTCCATCAAAAAGGGGTGAGTAGCCAGGTGTGGTAGGTCAAGCCTGTAAACCCAAAACTTTGGCAGGCTGTGGCGAGAGGATTGCCTGAGCTCAGGAGTTCAAGGCCAGCCGGGGAACATAGCCAGACCTCATCTCTACTTAAAAAAAGAAAATTACCAGCCAGCCCAGCTACTCAGGATTGCTTGCACTTGGGAGACTGAGGCTACAGTGAGCCATGCTTGCACTACTGCACTCCAGCCTGGGCAACAGCACGATGCCCTGTCTCCAAAAAAAAAAAGGCGGGGGTCGGGGGGGTGGGGGTGGGCTTGGTGGCTCATGCCTGTGATCCCAGCACTTTGGGAGGCTGAGATGGGGAGATCACCTGAGGTTGGGAGTTCGAGACACCAGCCTGACCAACATGGAGAAACCCCATCTCTACTAAAAATACAAAATTAGCCGAGTGTGGTGGCACATGCCTGTAATCCCAGCTACTTGGGAGTCTGAGGCAGGAATTCACTTGAACCCGAGAGGCGGAGGTTGCAGTGGGCCAAGATTGCACCATTGCACTCCAGCCTGGACAACAAGAGCAAAACTCCATCTCAAAACCAAAGCAAAACAAAAAAAACAACGAGCTGGAATGAGTAATCTTTGTAATCAGAAGATATTTTAGGCATTGTTTTGGTGAAAGAATCCATTTTAATGTTCACACACTCCCTACACATTCACAGATATACTTTTTCTTTTGTACATTCACATTTTTATAAGATGAATTTTCTTAAGAGAACCACAACTACAATTTTTTTTTTCCCGAGATGGAGTCTTGCTCTTTTGCTCAGGCTGGAATACAGTGACATGATCTCAGCTCACTGCAGCCTCCGCCTACTGGGGTCAAGTGATTCTTGTGCCTCAGCCTCCCGAGTAGCTGAGATTACGGGTGTGTGCCACCATGCCCATCTAATTTTTGTATTTTTTAATAACAGTTTCACCATGTTGGCCAGGCTAGTCTTGAACTCCTGACCTCAAGTGATCTGCCCACCTCTGCCTCCCAAATTGCTGAGATTACAGGTGTGAGCCACCACGCCTGGCCAACAAATATAATTTTGAAGAAAGTTTAGGAACTTGAATTCTGATCAACCCAAATCTTACTTAAACTAATTTACTTTACTAAGTATTTTCTAATACCTCATTTTCTTTATTATTTAATTTTGTTTAAATGTTTAAATATCTTTAAAGTCTTTAAAATGGTCATGGTAGAAGTCTCTCTGACCCTACTCTGGCTTGGGAGGCTGCCCGATTCATGAATAAAAATTTTAAAAGAATCTGCCGGGCACAGTGGCTCATGCCTGTCATCCCAGCACTTTGGGAGGCCGAGGCGTGCAGATCACGAGGTCAGGAGATCGAGACCATCCTGGCTAACACGGTGAAACTCTGTCTCTACTGAAAATACAAAAAAATTAGCCAGGTGTGGTGGCGGGCACCTGTAGTCCCAGCTACTTGGGAGGCTGAGGCAGGAGAATGGCTTGAACCTGGGAGGCGGAGCTTGCAGTGAGCCAGGATCACGCCACTGCACTCCAGCCTGGGCAACAGAGCAAGACTCCGTCTCAAAAAAAAAAAAATTTTGTTTTAAAGAAAAAAAATTGTAGCTGGGCACGGGGGCTTACGCCTGTAATCCCAGCACTTTGGGAGGCGGAGGCGGGTGGATCACGAGGTCAGGAGTTCAAGACCAGCCTGGCCAACATAGTGAAACCCCGTCTCTACTAAAAATACAAAAATTAGCCACGCATCGTGGCACGTGCCTGTTAGTCGCAGCTACTTGGGAGGCTGAGGCAGGAGAATTGCTTGAACCCAGGACGCAGAGGCTGTGGTGAGCCAAGATCACAGCACTGCACCCCAGCCTGGGTAACAGAGCCAGATTCCATCTCAAAAAAAAAAAAATTGCAATGTTTACTATATATTTATGAATCTAAGTATTATACATGCTTGGTCTAGAAAATTTTTTTAAGTATTAAGAACTCGAAAATCAGCCAGGCATGGTGGCTCATACCTAATCCCAGCACTTTGGGTAGCCAAGGTGGGTGGATCACCTGAGGTCAGGAGTTCAAGACCATCCTGGCCAACATGGGAAAACCCCATCTCTACTAAAAAATACAAAAATTAGCCGGGCATGGTAGCAGGCGCCTGTAATCCCAGCTACTTAGGAGGCTGAGGCAGGGAGAATTGCTTGAACCCAGGAGGCAGAGGTTGCAGTGAGCTGAGATCATGCTACTGCACTCCAGCCTGGGCGACAGAGCGAGACTCTGTCTCAAAAAAAAAAAGAACTTAAAAATCACTTATAATTTAACCACTCTGAAGTAACTGCTGTTAACATTTTTGTTGAATTTCATTTTATCATTTTCTGTCCATAGATGCATATATACTATGTGTACATTTATTTTTAAAACAATTTTAAATTCATCATTATAAAATATTTGAATATATCTGAGTATTATTTTATCACAACAGTGCCCCGTAATTTTTATATATACTTAATTGTTCTTGGCAACATAGAGTTTTTTGTTATTATGTTTTTTGAGGCTGGAGTGCAGTGGCACGATCATAGTTCATTGCAGCTTCAAACTCCCCGTCTCAAGTGGTCCTCCTACCTCCGCCTCCCAAATAGCTGGAACGATAGGTGTATGTCACCATGCCCAGCTAATTTTTTTTAATTTTTAGTAAAGATGAGGTCTTGCTGTGTTACCCAGGCTGGTCTCAAACTCCTGATCTCAAGCAATCCTCCTGCCTCGATCTGCCAAATTGCAGGGATTACCAGCGTGAGCCACCACGCCCAGCCAAGTATTTTAAATTTTACCACTATGAAAAATATTTTTGACTATTTTCTTTTATTTATGTAAAAAAAAAAACCCAGCTATGTTTAGATATAATTAACCTACCATAAAATTCATCCCTTTGAAGTATATAGTTAAGTATTTTTAATATGTCTACAGTTTTACAATCATCAGCACAATCTAATTTCAGAATATCATTATTGAAAAAGCCGAATATATTGCTGAAAGAAAAAAAAATCAGATACTAGAAGTCACTCTCCATTTTCCCCTGCAGCCCTAACATAACCATGAATCTACTTTCTGTCTATCTCTATGGATTTCTGTCACTATGTATTTACCTGTTCTACTCATTTTCACATTTTGGGCTATTATGAATAATGCTACTATGAACATTTATATACAAGTTTTTGTGTGGTCATATGTTTTCATTTCTCTCAGGTATAAATCTAGGAGTGGAATTGTTAACTCTTATATTAACTTTATGAAGAACTGCCCAAATGTATTCCAAAGTGACTGTACCATTTAACATTTCTACCAGCTATGTATGAGGCTTCCAGTTTTTCCACATCCTAACACATTAGCTTCTGTTTTTTTAAATTATAGCCATTTTAGTGGTTGTAAAGGGGTATGTCATTCTGGTTTTGATTTACATTTCTCTAATGACCAGTGATGTTGAGTGTCTTTTCATGTGCTTATTGTCCATTCGTACATCTTCTTTGGAGAAATTCCTGTTCAAATCCTCTGTCCAGTTTTTTTATTTGTTTGTTTGTTTGTTTTTTTGAGACAGAGTCTTGCTCTGTCGGCGAGGCTGGAGTGCAGTGGCATGATCTCGGCTCACTGTAACCTCCGCCTCCCAGGTTCAAGTGATTCTTCTGCCTCAGCCTCCCAAGTAGCTGGAATTACAGGCATGTACCACCACATCCGGCTAATTTTTGTTTTTTAGTAGAGGCAGGGTTTTACCATGTTCGCCAGGCTGGTCTTGAACTCCTGATCTCACGTGATTCACCCGCCTCGGCCTTTCACAGTGCTGGGATTACAGGCATGAGCCACCGTGCTCAGCCTGTTTATATTTTCAGGTGGTTTATTTGCCTTTTTGTTAAGTTGTAAGAATTCTTCATTTTTTCTGAATACAAATTCCTTATCAGATACATGATTTGCGAATATTTTCTCTCATTCTTTGAGTGCCTTTTAACTCAAACAGAAAAAAATAAAACAATTACCTAGAATTGCTATATGTATACAGTGGTATTTATTCACTAAAATATTTTTTAAACTTTCTTATTGAAGTATGGCTTATATACACAAAGGTACAGGCCAGGTAGGCCAGGTGTAGTGGTTAATGCCTGTAATCTCAACACCTTCGGAGGCCAAGGCAGGAGGATCATTTGATCCCAGGAATTAAACCAGTCCGGCCAACATAGCGAGAACCTGTCTCTACAAAAAAAAAAAAAAAAAAACCTAAAAAAATCACCCGTGGTGGCACACACCTATAGTCCTGGCTACTTGGGAAGCTAAGATGGGAGAATCGCTTGAGCCCAAGAGGTCGCAGCTGCAGTGAGCCATGTTGTTGCCACTGGACTCCAGCCTGGGCAACAGAGTGAGCTCCTATCTAAAAAAAAAAAAAAAAAAAAAAAAAAAAAAATAGAAAAGTGCAGAAATCATAAATATATACTAAATGAATTTGTATTATTTCCGTTTTCAGAATAAATCAACTACTTTATTAGAATTTGTTAAAATTTGTCCTTTGGCCGGGCGTGGTGGCTCACACCTGTAATCCCAACACTTTGGGAGGCTGAGGTGGGCAGATCACTTGAGCCTAGGAGCTCAGGACCAGCCTGGGCAACATGGTGAAACCCCATCTTTACAAAAAATACAAAAATTAGCCGGGCATGGTGGCCTATAGTCCCCGCTACTCAGGAGTCTGAGGCAGGAGGATCGCTTCAGCCCAGGAGGTCAAGGCTGCAGGGAGCCATGATTGCACCACTGCACTCCAGCCTGGGAAACAGAATGAGACCCTGTCCCAAAAACAAGAAACTCAAATTATTTATTTAACAGAGATATCCAGTCTTTTGGCTTCCCTGGGCCACATTGGAAGAAGAATGGTCTTGGGGCACACATAAAATACTAAAATACACTAATACTGACGATAGCTGATAAGCTTTAAAAAAATTGCAAAAAAGTCTCATAAATCTCATAATGTTTTAAGAAAGTTTTCCAGGCACGGTGGCTCACACCTGTAATCCCAGCACTTTGGGAGGCTGAGGCGGGCAGAACACAAGGTCAGGAGATCGAGACCATCCTGGCTAACACGATGAAACTCCATCTCTACTAAAAATACCAAAAAAAAAAAAATTAACTGGGCGTGGTGGCAGGCGCCTGTAGTCCCAGCTACTTAGGAGGCTGAGGCAGGAGAATGGCGTGAACCCGGGAGGCGGAGCTTGCAGTGGGCCGAGATCGTGCCACTGCAGTCCAGCCTGGGCGACAGAGCAAGACTCCGTCTCAAAAAAAAAAAAAAGTTTACAAATTTTTGTTGGGCCACATTTAAAGCCGTCCTAGGCCACAGATTGGACAAGCCTGGTGTAGTATATAGTCATCAAGTATTTCATGACTTTAGTACTATTTTAGGTACTGCTATAAAACTCATGCTGGTTGGGGGGCAGTGGTTCACGCCTATAATCCCAGCACTTTGGGAGTCTGAGGGAGGAAGATTGCTTGAGCCCAGGAGTTCAAGACCAGCCTGGACAAGACCCTGTCTCTACAGAAAATTTAAAAAATATATGCTTTCACAATAAAAAATAATAAAAACTGATGCTGTTCATGAGCTTATGGTCTTAAAAATTATATTCCTGTGGGTTTTTGGTATTCATATTATTTAACTACATTGTTTTGAATACATTTAGTTATTTCATTGTATAGAATATTATATATTTCTGTATATTTCTACATATTCATTTTTTGTATGTACAGAATGTTTTTCAGAGAAATAAAATACATTGGGAGCTTTATCATTTTCTTTCTTTGTTTTCCAAGGGAATTACCTTCAGAATTACAGGGAATTTTTGATAAAGAAGAGGTGGACGTTAAAGTTGAAGACAAGAAAAATGAAATATGTTTGTCTACGAAGCCTGTGTTCCAGCCCTTTTCAGGACAGGGTCACAGACTAGGAAGGTAAATATGCCTATTGTCTTGTTTTGCATAGATCAAGGCTTAACTAATATTCTGTCTATCAGTATTTTACCCATGTAGACCACATGAATGGAGCTTATCATTTCTCCCATTGGAAATCAGATTTTTTTTAATGTTAATTTTTATGAGGACACATAAGTCATAGTTACCTAAGTATATATTAACAATGCCTGGCCAGGCATAGTGGCTCATGCCTGTAATCCCAGCACTTTGGGAGGCCAAGGTGGGCGGATCACCTGAGATCGGGAGTTCGAGACCAGCCTGACCAACATGGAGAAACCCCGTCTCTACTAAAAATACAAAAAATTAGCCAGGCGTGGTGGCATGTGTCTGTAATCCCAGCTCCTCGGGAGGCTGAGGCAGGAGAATCGCTTGAACCTGGGAGGCAGAGATTGCGGTGAGCCGAGATCGCGCCATTGCTCTCCAGTCTGGGCAACAAGAGTGAAACTCTGTCTCAAAAAAAAAGAAATGCCAGCAATACAGTAAAAAATCATGCAGGCTTTTTTGTTTTTCTTTTTTTCAAATCAAAAGGGCTTGGCTTATTAAGGACAGAATTCAATAGTTAAGTTCTTTTGTGTCCCTTGCACTCACCACTGTAGAGTACATGTACTAGCTTTTGAATATTATTGTTCTCTTTTTTTTGAGACAGAGCCTCACTTTGTTGCCCAGGCTGGAGTGCAGTGGCATGATCTTGGCTCACTGCAACTTCTGCCTCCCTGGTTCAAGCAATCCTCCTGCCTCAGCCCCTCTAGTAGCTGGGATTACAGGCATACACCACCACGCCCAGCCAATTTTTGTATTTTTAGTAGAGACAGGGTTTCGCCATGTTGGCCAGGCTGGTCTTGAACTCCTGACCGCAGGTGATCCACCCACCTCGGCCTCCCAAAGTGCTGGGATTACAGGTGTGAGCCACCGCACCCAGCCTATTGTTCTCTTTTATGGTTACCACTGTCTGCAACATTTTGTTCTGTGATCTATGTATGAATTTTGAGGTAATAAAAATGAAAATCAGTGTCAGTATCAAAGCCTTAAATTATTTTCAAGTTTTACAGTTTCCATCCTATCTAACAGAATATGCAGAGAGATTATATAGATATGAGAGCTCTTTGATTTTTATAAATTCTCATATTTTAAATTATCAAGATTGGTAAGGTGCATACATATTCATCCACACATACAAATATATCTGGATGCATCCTTCAGAATGATCAGGAAGTACTTTATTTAGTTTCTTTTTCATTATAACCTAAGGACTAAGCTCAATAAAGAACTTATAATTTCTTCTAGAAATTTAACCTGGGCAGTAGGTAAAGGTAAAGTCCATAGATCTATGAACCTTCTTTAAAATTATCCATTCTGTAAAGCACTACTCAAATAATACCAGTAATAATATATGTAGCTTACAAATTACTCAGATATGTATAACTTCATCAGATTCTTAGAACCATCATATATTGTGGACATAAATAATATATCTTTCTGTTATTACTGAAGAAACACATATAACTTAAAAAATCTTCCTTAAAGTTATACTTGCTATAATATTTTTATAGTAATTATTTAATAATAAAGTTTTATTGAATGGAAAAAACGTCTAACTTTGTTGTCTGGATTTCCTTAGTGCCACACCAAAAATTGTTTCTAAAGCAAAGAATATTGAAGTTGAAAATAAAAATAATTTGTCTGCTGTTCCACTGAACAACTTGGAACCCATTACTAATATACAGATCTGGTTGGCCAATGGAAAAAGGATTGTCCAGAAATTTAACATTACTCATAGGTGAGTCTTCAATTTCAGTATTTGATATTTTTTCACCAAGTTAAAATTTCATTTTTTCTTTTTGGTTCAGTCAACAGTTTATTTTTTAGAGATAGAATCTTTCTTTGTTGCCCAGGCCAGAGTGCAGTGGCACAGTCATAGCTCACTGCAGTCTTGAAGTCCTGGATTCAAGCAATCCTCCCACCTCAGCCTCCTGAGTTGTAGAACTACAGCCACATGCCACCATGCCCAGCTAACTTTTTTTTTTTAATTTTTATTTATTGCCAGCTAATTTTAAAAATTGTTTTGTAGAAAGGGAGTCTCACTGTGTTGCCCACACTGGTCTCAAACTCCTGGACTGAATTCATCGTCCTGCCTTAGCCTGCCAAAGTGCTGGGATTACAGGCATGAGCCATCGCATCCTGCCAAGCATTTTATTTATTTATTTATTTTTTTGAGTCGGAGTCTCGCTCTGTTGCCCAGGCTGGAGTGTAGTGGCACGATCTCAGCTCACTGCAACCTCTGCCTCCCAGCTTCAAGTGATTGTCCTGCCTCAGCGTCCAATGTAGCTGGGATTACAGGTTTGCACCACCAAGCCCGGCTAATTTTTGTATTTTTAGTAGAGACGGGGTTTCACCAGGAGTTTGGCCAGGGTGGTCTCAAACTTCTGACCTCAAGTGATCTGCCCGCTTTGGCCTCCCAAAGTGCTAGGATTACAGGAGTGAGCCACCTCGACCAGCCTGGCCAAACATTTTAATAAATAGTTCTCTAAACATAATTATGTCTAGACAGTTTTTTTTTTTTTTTGAGGCAAGGTCTCACTCTGTCACCCAGGCTGGAGTAGAGTGGCGCGAGCCACCGTGCCCAGCTGATAATGGGTATTTTTAAACATTGAATGAGGTAGGCCAGGTGCAATGGCCCATGCCTGTAATCCCAGCACTTTGAGGGGCCAAGGCAGGAGGATCACTTGAGCTCAGGAGTTCAAGATCAGCCTGGGCCATATAGTGAGACCTCGTGTCTACAAAAAAATTTTTTTAAATTAGCTGAACATGGTGATGCACATCCGTAGTCCCAGCTACTTGGGAGGAGAATTGCTTGAGCCCAGGAGGTAGAGACTGCAGTGAGCCGAATTGCACCATTACACTGCAAGCCTGGGTGACATTGAGACCCTGTCTCAAAAAATAAAAATAATCATAACAATAACAGTAATGAAGTTGGCCGGGCACGGTGGCTCACACCTGTAATCCCAGCACTTTGGGAGGCCGAGACGGGTGGATCACGAGGTCAGGAGATCGAGACCATCCTGGCTAACACGGTGAAACCCTGTCTCTACTAAAAATACAAAAAAAATTAGCCGGGCGTGGTGGTGGGCGCCTGTAGTCCCAGCTACTCTGGAGGCTGAGGCAGGAGAATGGCGTGAACCCGGAAGGCGGAGCTTGCAGTGAGCCGAGATTGCGCCACTGCACCCCAGCCTGAGCGATTGAGCAAGACTCCATCTCAAAAAATAATAATAATAATAATAGTAATAATAATGAAGTATTTTCAGTCTGTTTTAGGATTTTCATTCTCATCATTTGATTCATTTTTCTGTTTAAGTAGATGCATAATTATAAAAGAATTATTTTTAATGTTTTAAATTAGTCATTAGCATTATATGCATATCCTTCTGTCAATTATAGTGAAAGAATGAAAATACAGAAAAACATTAAAAGAAATTGAAGTTAATATGAATTCCACCACTCAGAGATAATCAATAGTATCAGTTTGATGCATTTTTCCAGTCTTTTATCTCTTCCTAAAAGCTTTTTTTTTTTTTTTGAGACGGGGTCTTCTGCCACCCAGGCTGGAGTGCAGTGGCACGATCTCAGCTCACTGCAACCTTCATCCCCCGGGTTCAAGCGATTCTCCTGCCTCAGCCTCCTGAGTAGCTGGGATTACAGGCACGTGCCACCATGCCTGGCTAATTTTTGTATTTTTAGTAGAGATGGGGTTTTGCCATATTGCCCAGGCTGGTCTCAAACTCCTGACCTCAGGTGATCCACCCACCTCGGCCTCCCAAGGTGCTGGGATTACAAGCATGAGCCACCGTGCCCAGCCTTCTTAAAAGCTTTTTTTTGGCTGGGTGTCGTGGCTCATTCTTGTAGTCCCAGCAATTTGGGAGGCTGGGGACTATTCAGGAGGCTGAGGTGGGAGAATCACCTGAGCCCCGGAGGTTGAGGCTGTGATGAGCCATGATCTCACCACTGTACCCCAGCCTGGGTGACAGAGCAAGACCCTGTCTCAAAAGGAAAAAAAAAAAGTTTGTTTTGTTTTAATTAAAAATAGAAACATGTCATATATAGCATATGTAATTTTTCTTTTTTTAAAAAAATTTTTTTTCAGGAAATGTGGTACAGATAAATAACAAATATAGGGAGAGAGTTAAAAGAATAAGAATAAAATACATATGTACCACCTACCTCAAAACATAGATTCTTATCAGTATACCTTATGTGTCTTTCTGTGATCATGTCTCTTCTTCTGTGGAAGAGGTAAATAACCACTGTCCTAAATTTGTGTTGATAATTTGCTGCTTTTATTTATAGCTTTACCTAGTATATATGTATTGCTAAAATAGACTAAATTGTTTTGCTTATTTCCAAATAATTACTCTGAATTTCAAACCAGCAAAAACTTACAGAAAAAGGACCTGGCACGGTGGCTCACGCCTGTAATCCCAGCACTTTGGGAGGCCGAGGTGAGCAGATTACGAGGTCAGGAGATGGAGACCATCCTGGCAAGCACGGTGAAACCCCATCTCTACTAAAAATACAAAAAATTAGCCGGGCGTGGTGGCAAGTGCCTGTAGTCCCAGCTACTCGGGAGGCTGAGGCAGGAGAATGGCGTGAACCTGGGAGGTGGAGCTTGCATTAAGCCGAGATCGCGCCACTGCACTCCAGCCTGGGGGACAGAACGAGACTCCATCTCAAAAAAAAAAAAAACAAAAAAAACTTACAGAAAATGTTCAAGAACAATATAAAGAACTTTTCTTGGCCAGGTGCAGTGGCTCACGCCTATAATCCCAGCATTTTAGGAGACCGAGGCAGGCAGATCACAAGGTCAGGAGTTTGAGACCAGCCTGACCAAAATGGTAAAACCCCATCTCTACTAAAAATACAAAAAATTAGCTGGCCGTCGTGGCGTATGTCTGTAATCTCAGCTACTCAGGAGGCTGAGGCAGGAGAATCACTTGAACCTGGGAGGCAGAGGTTGTAGTGGGCTGGGATCGTGCCACTGCAGTCCAGCCAGGGTGACAGAGTGAGGCTCCATCTCAAAAAAAAAAAAAAAAAGAAAGAAAAAACTTTTCTCCCTAAGCATTCAAGAGTTAGTGCCAGTCTGATGACCCATCACTTGAAATACTTAGGTATAGATTATCTGTAAACAAGGAACTTCTCCCACATAACCACAATACAGCCATTTAAATCAGGAAACTTAACCTTAATACGCTTGTATCGACTAATAGACCCTAATTCAGGGTTTTCCATTTTATCTAATACCTTCCTTTATAGCAAAAGGCCATTCAGAATTACACATTGCACTTAGTTGTCGTATCTCAGTTTGAAATAGTTCCTTGTCTTCCTTTGATTTTTATAACCTTGACTTTTTAAAATATTACAAGCCAATTTGTTTTGTTTGATGCTTCCTCATGATTATATTTAGGTCACTAATTTTGGCAGGGGTGTGACAGAACTAATGCTTTGTACCTCTCATTGTATTCCAACAGGTGGCATCATTTACATTTGTCCCATTATGATGATGTTAAATTTGACACTCGATTAAAGTGGTGTCTACCAGAGTCCTTTACTGTAAAGTTACTCATTTTCCCTTTGTAATTAATCTGTATTTAGTGGGAAGGACTTTGAAATAGGATACTTATGTTGCTCACAAGACCTCAGATTGATTGATTGATTGATTTGTGTCTATACCTACTCATAGTTTGCTATTTTATTCAATAGTTTATGAACTCTTACCATCATTATTTATTTTGATATGCACATTGTCTCAGGTACAGTTTGTGAGACGTCCTTTAAACTGATTCCTGTGTTATTTTGAAATGGTCCCATAATTCTTGAACATTTCCTTGTTTTCAGCACAAAATTTTTTTTCAAGTTCATTCTACGCTTTTCCAGGAATCCCTAGTTCTTTTTAGTGGACAGCGGTATTGACAATCCAGGATCTGGGTACTAGATATGCTTATTGCTTATCAGGATACCACTGCTTCCAGGCCCTCTGTTTGAAAAGAATTGTTTGTGTGCACACGCACACACACACACGCCAAAAAGAAAACTATTTCAAAAATTGAAGAGGGGATACTTCCAGACTCATTCTATGAGGCCAGCATTACCCTGATACCAAAATCAACAAAGACACACACAAAAAACCTATACATATACATATGTGTGTGTGTGTGTGTGTATGTATATATATGCACTTAAGTTTATATCTGTATTTATTCCTTTTTTTTTTTTTTTGAGACAGGGTCTCACTCTGTCTCCCAGGTTGGAGTGTAGTGGTATAATTACAGATCACTGCAGCCTCCACCTCCCCAGACTCAGGTGATCCTCCTCAGTTTTTATACTTTTAATAGAGAGGGGGTTTCACCCTGTTGCCTAGGCTGGTCTCAAACTCCTGGACTCAAGCGATCCACCTGCCTCGGCCTCCCAAAGTGCTAGGATTACAGGCATGAGCCACCACACCCGGCCTTATTTCTATATTTTTATATATCAAAAACCGTGAATCCACGTAGATACATCCACTTTCAGTCTGGTAGGGCCAGGCGTGGTGGCTCATACCTGTAATCCCAGCACTTTGGGAGGCCAAGGCGGGCAGATCACTGGAGCCTAGCAGTTCAAAACCAGTCTGGGCAACATGGTGAAACTCTATCTCTACAAAAAACACAAAAAGTTGCCAGACGTGGTGGCACTCACCTGTGGTCTCAGATACTCGGGAGGCTGAAGTAGGAGGATCACCTGTACCCTGGGGAGGTTGAGGCTGCAATAAGCTGTGATTGCACCACTGCATTCCAGCCTGGGCAATAGAACCAGACCTTGTCTCAAAAAATATCTATATAAGGATTGTTCTAATTTTCTCCTTTCCATATTTGTAACTAACTTCTACAGTGCAAGGCCTGGCTCCAGTTATAATTAACACATTTATTTAATCAGTTTTCCTATATGTGACCAATGTCCTTTTTCCACTGCTGCCTCCTACCCCACATGTAAGCCTTCCTCACACTGCTTGGGCTTTGACTCTCCTTGTTGAATTCCAATATGGATTCCCTCCTCTTCCTGCTAGGCTCTCTGACACATCATCACCCCAGGGCACCCCTTCACTGGAATGCCCTCTCACACTGCTTGACTTGAGGACTCTATGCCAGTGACCTCCTCTGCTTGGTAGACTGACATTCTGGGCTGCCTCTAAGATGCTCTCCTCACCACTGTCTGGTTCTGACACACTGCAGTCAACTGCTCTTCCATATGAATGCTTTTTTACTCTGCTTGGGACAACCTGCTCTGTTGTGATTTTTACTGGGCAATAGCTGACTGATTCAGCCATGTAAACTTGGACTGTTACCCATAAAGGTAGACTGAATAATTATTTTTATAATGGAAGACAGTAATCAAAAAATATTTGCAGCTGGGCGTGGTGGCTCAGGCCTGAAATCCCAGCACTTTGGGAGGCCGGGGGGGCGGGGGGGCGGATCACTTGAGGTCGGAAGTTCAAGACCAACCTGGCCAACATGGTGAAACCCCATCTCCACAAAAAATACAAAAATTAGCTGAGTGTGGTGGCCCACTCCTGTAATCCCAGCTACTTGGGAGGCTGAAGCAGGAGAATGGCTTGAACCCAGGAGGTGGAGGTTGCAGTGAGCTGAAATCACACCACTGCACTCCAGCCTGGGTGACAGAGTGAGACTCCATCTCAAAAAAAAAAAAAAAGTATTTGCTATGGCTGCACACATAAACATGGATGAGTCCCAAAAACATAATGTAGAGATAAAGCTATAGAACACATACACTATGATTCCATTCATGTCAGGTTTAAAAAAGTAAAACTGTCCTTAAAAGCTACTAAGCCATGACTACTCTTCTCCTACCCACCAGCTTGGATATTTTTCCTCACCCCACTTGGCCTCTGACATCCTACACTAGACAGCTCTTATATGGGCCACCACAACTCCCAGCATTTCTGAAATAGATGCCTCCCATGTTCTGTCCTACTAATGGCTTGGTGGCTTTTGGACTGAATCATTAAAAAATTGTGTTTTTCTTCCGTTTTTTCTGCTTATTTTATTAGTTACCAAGAAAGTTGTGCTAAAATCTCCAACTATGATTATGGATTTGTCTATTTCTTATTTACTTCTGTCAATGTTTGCTTTATATATTTTAAAGTTATATAATTGGGTCCAGCAGAGATGAAATTGTGTTTTTCTGATTAATTGACTTTGTTGGGGAGAAAAGATTTTCTTCGCCCATTGCCTAGATTCATGGCTGAGACCCCTTTAACAAAAGACAGATTAACAAAAGAAATGCATGTGATTTTATATTTTATTTTATACACACACACACACACACACACACATATACATATATATATATTATATTTTTTTCTGTCTTTTTTGTTTTGTTTTGTTTTTGAGATGGAGTCTCTCTCTGTTGCCTAGGCTGGAGTGCAGTGGTGTGATCTCGGCTCACTGCAACTTCTGCCTCCCAGGTTCAAGCAATTCTCCCTGCCCCAGACTCCTGAGTAACTGGGATCACAGGCGCCTATCACCACACCTGGCTAATTTTTTTTGTATTTTTAGTAGAGAAAGGGTTTGCCATGTTGGCCAGTCTGGTCTCGAACTGCTGATCTCAGGTGGTCCGCTCACCTTGGCCTCCCAAAGTGCTGGGATTACAGGCGTGAGCCACAGTGCCCGGCCTTTTTTGTTTTTTGTTTGTTTGTTTTGTTTTGTTTTTTTGAGACAGTCTCAACTCTGTTGCCTAGGCTGGAGTGCAGTGGCATGATCTTGGCTCATTGAAACCTCTGCCTCCTGGGTTCAAGCAATTCTCGTCCCTCAGCCTCCCAAGTAGCTGGGATTATAGGCACCTGCCACCACGCCTGGCTAATTTTTGGGGTTTTTTGTTTTGTTTTGTTTTTTGAGATGGAGTCTTGCTCTGTCGCCAGGCTGGAATGCAGTGGCGCAATCTCAGCTCACTGCAACCTCCGCCTCCCTGGTTCATGCGATTCTCCTGCCTCAGCCTCCCGAGTAGCTGGGACTACAGGTGTGTGCCACCATGCCCAGCTAATTTTTGTATTTTTAGTAGAGATGGGGTTTCACCATGTTGGCCAGGCTGGTCTTGATCTCCTGACCTCATGATCCTCCTGCCTCGGCCTCCCAAAGTGCTGGGATTACAGGCATGAGCCACCGCGCCCAGCCTAATTTTGGTATTTTTAGTAGAGACAGGGTTTCGCCATGTTGGCCAGGCTGGTCTTGAACTCCTGGCCTAAGTTTGATGAGGAAGTGGATAGTTTGTGGAGAAGTATGATTGGAGGGCAAAAGGGGTATGATCTAATGGTAATAAATTAAGGGGAACTTAGCTTAGCCTGTTCGTTCAGATTCTTCGTGGCATCTCTGCATCTTCAAGGATAAGGTTGTTCCTTTCCTCTGGGTATACGAACAATACCTCGGAAAGGAAGGTTTTATGACCTACTTCAGAGGAAGGACAGATAATTTCTTTTTTGGTCTGCTTTGAGGGGAGAAGGGCAAGGGGAGAATGAGACTGATCTACCTGTTTCTGCTGTTTCCTCAAATGCCAAGGTGCCATATTTTAGGGTAGCATATCTTGAACCCTGTCAACCTTTTTAGCACTGTCACATGTCTCTCTCAATCCTTGGTAATGCTTTTTGTGTTAAATCTACTCTGCCTGATATTAATATGGTCATAACAGCTTCCTTCTAATTAGTATTTGCCTGGTATATTTTTCTACTTACTTTTAATTTCAACGTATCTGTATATATTTATCTGTGTGTGTATTTAAAACTATCTCTTGTAAATAGTTGAGTTTTGTTTTTAAATCTAGGCTAACAGTATTAGTTTCTGGTTTTGTGGGGTTTTTTCCTCCTGTTTTACTCTGCAAGGAGGTTTCTGTTTTGTGGATTTCTTTAGCTACCATCTACCTGGTGCTTTCTATGTGTTTGGCTCTCTTGAAGGCATTTCACTTTTATTTCTGTCAAAACCATTCTAGACAGCTGGAATCACACAACTGATTATCATAATAATAGAAGAAGCACAAGTTTGAAATTGTGTCCTGGAATGTTCTTTTGTGACCTAAATTCCTTCCAAATGAAGAGGAGAGCAAACTAAAGATGTAGAAATGGGAATGGGGATTTGTTATTCTGGCCCAAGCTTATTTGTTTATCTTCAGGGAAATAAATTTTAATCTTGACTTGTTTATCTAGGTGAATAACAATGAAACACGTAGCTTTTTTTCCCCCTAAATGACTGAAGCGTTTAAAAATTTTTGGCCAACAGCATTTATTTAGTAATGATTAATCAGGCTTTTTCTTTTCTGTTTTAAATATATAATATATTTTGGTAGAGACAGGGTCTCACCTGCTGGGATTATAGGCTTGAGCCACTGCCCCTGGCCAACAATTTCACTCTGTTACTCTCTTCCTTTTTGCTATTTTTGTCAACAAATATGTTACTTCTACGAACATTTTAACAACCCTCAAAATGCTATTACTTGTAAACAATATTCACTTATATATCATTTTACTTTTTCTGTTTTTTACCCAGTTTGATGTTTTAGCCTGAACAATTATGCTTAGTATCTCTTAAATTTTTTTAATTTTTTAATTTTTTTTTTTTTTCAAGACAGAGTCTTGCTCTGTCACCTGGTTGGAGCGCAGCGGAGTGATCTCAGCACACTGCGACCTCTGCCTCCCTGGTTCAAGCAATTCTCCTGTCTCAGCTTCCCAAGTAGCTGGCATTACAGGCATGCGCTACCACACCCAGCTAATTTTTGTATTTTTTTGGTAGAGACAGGGTTTCACCATGTTGGCCAGGCTGGTCTCCAACTCCTGACCTTGTGGTCCGCCTCGGCTTCCCAAAGTGCTGGGATTACAGGCGTGAGTCACCGAGCCCTGCCTTTAGTATCTCTTTAATTGCTTATCTACTAATGATGAATTCTCTTAGCTTTGATTTGAACACATCTTCATTTTTAAAGACCATTTTCACTAGGCTAGAACTGTCAGGTTTTTCTAGCACATCAGCTCTTAAGAATGCCCATATGTTGTCTTCCAGCTTCCACTCTCCTACTCAAAAATCAGCTGTCAGCCTTTTTCTTGCTCTTTTGAAAGATATTAAGTCTTTTTTCCTCTCAGTTTAAAATTTTTCTCTTTGTTCTTAGATTTTAATAGCTTGAATATGATGTGCCTAGGTGTTAGTTATCTTTGCATTATATTGCTTAGAATTTGCTGAGTTTCTTGGATCCATAGTTAAGGTTTTTTGTCAGTTTGGGGAGTTTCTTGGCCAGTATTGATGGAAATGTTCTCGTATTTTATTCTCTTTTGTCTTTGGCATTTGTGGCTTTATTTACATGTATGTTAGATGTTTTCAGTGTATCTTATATTCTTTTCTAATTTTTTTCTTCTTTTTCCTTCTGATTCAGTCTGCATATTTTCTATTTGACCTGTCTTCGAGTTCAGTAATCTGTTGTATTGGTCTGGTCTGTTAAATACATGTGTTGGAATTCTTACTTTCAATTCTACTGTCACTTGTAGACTTTTCATTTGAGTCTGTTATTTTTCAGGTGTCTGGTGAAATTCCTCATCTTTTTATTTTATCTGTTGCTTCTTCTGGATTTTAGCATACCTTATAATTCATCTGGTCATTAGACCTTGTTTATGGAAACATTGTAGACGTTTCAGATGACATCATCTTCCTCCAAAGATACCTATGCTTCTATCAGACAGATTCCTAATGGATTATGTTGATTTTATTAAGAGTTAGTTGGATTGACTGTAGACTTTACTGGGGCTGGTTGGTTATCTGTTTTGCTTTTAGAGCATGGACTTGAACCTTAGGGTCTGACCCTTAGAAGTGGTGAAAACCTGGGTGTTTACCAAGACTCCTCCACATTGGCAGAGCTTAAACTCTAGAGTCTGTGTGCCCAGCATTTTGGAGCTGCTAGAATCTCTCCTCAGTCGCTGTTTTCTGTTGGGTTCTTTGAATTCTCATTCTACTAATAGCTGAGGAGTTAGCCAATAACTTAAGAATTTGTTACGGTTTTCTGGTCACGTTTCTTTATGGGTCCCTCTGTTTCAGGATTTTGGCTTATAAATCCCAGCTTCTTGTCTCTCCTTGGTGTAGTGAAATGGCTTTTTTTTTTCCCTCTAATTCACTGCTACAAATTGGAAAGTGCCCTCAGTGAAAAAACCAGTGTAAATGTGGAGCTCACCTTGTGCATTTCCTTCCTACAGGGCTCTCAGATGATTTACATTGGTTGGTCTTCAGTGCTTTCACATAGCGCTTTTATGTTTAGACGCTCCTTGACTTATGATGTAATGTCCCAATAAGCCCATCCACGTTGAAAATGCATTTACCCAGCACTTTGGGAGGCTGAGGCGGGCGGATCACGAGGTCAGGAGATCGAGACCATCCTGGCTAACATGGTGAAACCCCGGATCTACTAAAAATACAAAAAAAATTAGCCAGGCGTGGTAGCGGGCGTCTGTAGTCCCAGCTACTCGGGAGGCTGAGGCAGGAGAATGGTGTGAACCCAGGGGGCGGAGCTTGCAGTGAGCCAAGATCACGCCACTGCACTCCAGCCTGGGCGACAGAGCAAGACTCTGTCTCAAAAAAAAAAAAGAAAAGAAAAAAAAAAGAAAATGCATTTAATACCCTGATGAACCCATTGTAAAGTTGAAAAATAGTTACGTCAAAGCATTTTAAGTCTGTATATTGTCCAGCTTTTATAGCAATATTTTTAGGAGCACTACTTCAATAAAAGCCATTTCATCAATGATCAAAACAAAATCCTCTTATTGTCTTTTTATTTTTTATTTATTTGTTTTTTTGAGATGAATTCTTGTTCTGTCACCCAATTTGGAGTGCAGTGGCTCAATCTCGGCTCACTGCAACCTGCACCACCTCCCAGGTTCGAGCAATTCTCCTGCCTCAGCCTTCCAAGTAGCTGGGATTACAGGTGTGCGTCACCACGCCTGGCTAATTTTTTTTTTTTTTTTTTTGAGTCAGAGTCTTGCTCTGTCGCCAAGGCTGGAGTGCAGTGGCATGATCTCGGCTCACTGCAACCTCTGTTTCCTGGGTTCAAGTGATTCTCCTGCCTCAGCCTCCCGAGTAGCTGGGACTACAGGCGCGTGCCACCATGCTTGGCTAATTTTTTATATTTTTAGTAGAAACAGTGTTCACCATATTGGCCAGGCTGGTCTTGAACTCCTGAACTCAGGTGATCTGTCTGCCTCAGCCTCCTAAAGTGCTGAGAGTACAGGCATGAGTCACCATGCCCAGCCCTCTTAATGTCTTTTTACACTCTGCTGAATCTTTAGTTATGCTGCATTTGCATTCCTATTGTTGTTCAATTATGCCTTCTCTTTTTCTGTTTTCTTTTTTCTTTTTCTTTTTCTTTTTTTTTTTTTTAAGATAGAGTTTCGCTCTTGTTGCCCAGGCTGGAGTGCAGTGGCACGATCTCGGCTCACTGCAACCTCCACCTTACGGTTTCAAGAGATTCTCCTGCCTCAGCCTCCCAAGTAGCTGGAACTACAGGCGCCTGCCACCATGCCCAGCTAATTTTTGTATTTTTAGTAGAGATGGGGTTTCACCATGTTGGTCAGGCTGGTCTCGAACTCCTGACCTCATGATCTACCCGCCTCAGCCTCCCAAAGTGCTGGGATCACAGGCATGAGCCACCATGCCCAGACTTTTTTTTTTTTTTTTAATAAGAGATGGGGTCTCGCTATGTTGCCCAGGCTGGATTGGCAGGGCTATTCACAGGTGCGATCCCACTACTGATCAGCACAGGAGTTTTTACTTGCTCAATTTCTGACCTGGGCTGGTTCCCCCCACCTTAGGGAACCTCTTTCACCTGGAGTTCACCATATTGATTCCAAAGTTACTGCGAGCACCTGATTGCCATAGCACACTACAGCCCCGGAAATCCTGGGCTCAGGGAATCCTCCCACCTCAGCTTCCCAAGTAGCTGGGACTATACGCATGTGCCACTGCGCCCAGTGCTGTTTTCTTTTTTATTTAGAGATAGGGTCTTGCTATATTGCCTAGATTGATCTGGAATTCCTGGGCTCAAGTGATCCTCCTGCTTTGGCCTCCCAAAGTCCTGGGATTACAAGTGTGAGCCAGCCTATTTTTCTTGATAAATCTTGTCAGATTTGTTCATTTTTATTAGTCTCTTTAAATACTAACTTTCTGCTTAGTCAATTCTATTTCTGAAAATACCTTTATACTTTCATTGGATTTATTTTCTTCTTTTGGTAAATTAGATGTTAAGGCTGTGATAAAATAGCAATTTACATAAGCACATCTGATTTCTTATATCTCTGGATTTAAGAATGTCAACAGTCTAAAGCCTTTATTTATTTATTTTTATTTATTTATTTTTGAGACGGAGTCCTGCTCTGTCGCCCAGGCTGGAGTGCAGTGGCGCAATCTCGGCTCACTGCAACCTCTGCCTCCCAGGTTCAAGCGATTCTCCTGCCTCAGCCTCCTAAGTACCTGGGACTACAGGCACCACCACACCCAGCTAGTTTTTGTATTTTTAGTAGAGACGGAATTTCACCATGTTGGCCAGGATGGTCTCAGTCTCTTGATCTCGTGATCTGCCTGCCTCGGCCTCCCAAAGTGCTGGGATTACAGGTGTGAGCCACCGTACCCGGCCTCTAAAGCCTTTATATATTGCATTTGTTTTGATTTTATTAGTTTTGCCAGAACTTTATTTTAATATTTTCTTTTTTTTTTTTTTAAGATGGAGTCTTGCTCTTGTCACCCAGGCTGGAGTGCAGTGGCGTCATTTTGGCTCACTGCAACCTCGCCTCCTGGGTTCAAGTGATTCTCCTGCCTCAGCCTCCTGAGTAGCTGGGATTACAGGTGACCACCACCACACCCAGATAATTTTTGTATTTTTAGTAAAGACAGAGTTTCACTATGTTGGCCAGACTAGTCTTGAACTCCTGACCTCAGGTGATCCACCCACCTCAGCCTCCCAAAGTGCTGGGATTACAGGCGTGAGCCACCACACCTGGCCTATTTTAATATTTTCTAACTTAATACATAAATATAGAATATCTCTCAACATTGTTTTTTGTTTCTGTCATTTCCACTTTCTAGTTTTTGGTTGTCATCATCATTGATACATGAGCTTTTTAATTTATTTTTCACTCATCCAATATTTATTGTATCTCTGATAGGTACTTTTCTAGGCACCAAGGATGTATCTATGAACAGAAACAGAAAATACTTGTTTTGTGTAATTTCTAGTCAGGAGAGACAGAAAATAAATAAGTCATATAATATTTGAGAAGACACATTTGAAAAATATAAAAGCAGAGAAGAATAATGGGTAAGAATCTTGGCTGGGCACGGTGGCTCACACCTGTAATCCCAGCACTTTGAGAGGCTTAAGCGGGTGGATCACCTGAGGTCAGGAGTTCAAACAAGCTTGGCCAACATGGCAAAACCCCATCTCTACTAAGAAATACAAAAACTAGCCGGATGTGGTGGCAGGCGCCTATAATCCCAGCTACTAGGGAGGCTGAGGCAGGGAGAATTGCTTGAACCCGGGAGGTGGAGGTTGCAGTGAGCCAAGATCACGCCGCTGCATTCCAGCCCAGGCAACAGAGCTAGACTCCATCTCAAAAAAAAGAAAAGAATCTTTTTTTTTGAGACAGGGTCTCACCCTTTCATCCAGGTTAGGGTACGGTGACATGATCTCAGCTCACTGCAACCTTCGTCTCCCGCGATCAACCTTCGTCTCCCTCCTCAGCCTCCCGAGCAGCTGGACCTGTCTTTTAAGTCCACACTCCAATCCTTCCACCTCCAGCAATCTTTCCCCAGTTCTTTTAACCTTTGTTTTCTTGCTTTTTATATTTATGTTCTTTGACATAAGCTTTAACCTTTAGTTATCCAATTTTTGGTACCCAAATGAATACACAGGACTGGGTCTTAGACTTTTTTGGTAGCCCTTACAGGTTTAATAAAGTGGCACGTAGTGAATTTTAGTGAATTGATTGAATGAGAGAATTCTTTCTTTAGTGATAGGCATATTTCATTAATTCTGAGTTGCACATTTTTTCACATTTTAGCATCTGTGAAATGAGGATGCATTCTATAATCCATGGCTACATGACGATCATGATACAATTGTGACAGCCTCTGTAAAACATAGCCATAATTCCTTTGTCTTACCTAAGATAATTAACAGTAGTAATTCATAGTACTAATTATCTTACCTAAGATAATTAACAGTAGTAGTAGTATTGTCATCAAATTTCTGGGAGTCAAACTTTAAAAGATAGCCCAAATAATCAGTTATATCATAAATTCAGTTATTCTATATATTAACATATCCAGAGTCTGGGTGTTGTGGCTCATGCCTGTGATCTCAGCACTTTGGGAGGCTGAGGCAGGAGGATCAGTTGAGCCCAGGAGTTATTATGATGGCACCACTGCACTGCATCCTGGGTGACAAAGCAAGACGCTATCTCTAATAATAACATATCCAGATACTTTTACCAGTTGTTGTTACTATAAATTAGGTAATTCAAATTTTCCTAAAATTATATTAATAGTTTTTGCTGTTTTACAGAGTAAGCCATATCAAAGACTTCATTGAAAAATACCAAGGATCTCAAAGAAGTCCTCCGTTTTCCCTGGCAACAGCTCTTCCTGTCCTCAGGTTGCTAGATGAGACACTCACACTGGAAGAAGCAGATTTACAGAATGCTGTCATCATTCAGAGACTCCAAAAAACTGCATCTTTTAGAGAACTTTCAGAGCACTGATTTTTGATAGACTAAGTGGAAAATTTGCAGAGAAATGATGGTTGTAAGTGGACATGCAAACCAAAATTGGGGATTGGAGAAGTCAGACTCACTAGACTTTTGGTTCGAGTACTATTGAACTCTCTCCTGATGAGAAGATGTTTAGATAAGTACAAGTTAAGAAAGTAGCATATGACTGGAAACTATATTCAGTGCACTTTCTCCAAAAGACTACCCAGAAAAATAGACTTATTTTCAAATACCAGTTATCAAGATATATTAAATAGCTGTATTGTTTAGAATCTTAATATGGTATAAATTAGCATATGTATTCACAATATTCATTCAGACATCATTCCCAGACAGCAGGGATTTATTTAAATGTTAGCTGTCTGAGTTTTTAAATAGCTAATACGACCGGGTACAGTGGTTCATGCCTGTAATCCCAGAACTTCGGGAGGCCGAGACAGGCAGATCACGAGGTCAACAGATTGAGACCATCCTGGCAAACATGGTGAAACCCCATCTCTAGTAAAAATACAAAAATTAGCTGGGCGTGGCGGTGCGCAACTGTAGTCCCAGCTACTCGGGAGGCTGAGGCAGGAGAATCTCTTGAACCTGGCAAGTGTAGGTTGCAGTGAGCTGAGATTGAGCAACTGTACTCCAGCTTGGCGACAGAGCAAGACCCCCTCTCAAAAATAAATAAAATAAAGTAAAATAAATATAAATAATTGTGGCCGGGTGCAATGGCTCATGCCTGTAATCCCAGCACTTTGGGAGGCTGAGATGGGAGGATCACTTGAAGCCAGGAGTTTAAAACCAGAATGATCAACAGAGTGAGACCCCTGTCTATATATTTTTTTAATTTAAAAAATAAAAGAATAAAATTGTGTAGCTCAGTATAGTATCAAGATTAATCTGCCTACTCACATTTCTACACTTTATAAAAATGTAATAAAAGAAAATTATCTTTCTAAAAAGCCTATTCCCTTTCCATTTTATTTTCTTTCAAAAATTATGGATTTGTTTTTGGCTAACATTTGGGATTAGCCATTCATTTGCCACCACTCACTTAGAATATAATGCCGGTGTGTGTCACATTACTAGTATTTTTTAAATGCATCATATAAAGTATGGTTTTCTGTTTCTTTTTCGTTTGTTTGAGATGGAGTTTCGCTCTTGTTGCCCAGGCTGGAGTGCAGTGGCGCAATCTCAGCTCACCACAACCTCCACCTCCCGGGTTCAAGAGATTCTCCTGCTCAGCCTCCCAAGTAGCTGGGATTACAGGCATGCGCCACCATGCTTGGCTAATTTTGCATTTTTAGTAGACACGGGATTTCACCATGTTGGTCAGGCTGGTCTCGAACTCCCGACCTCAGGGGATCTGCCTGCCTAGGCCTCCTGAAGTGCTGGGATTACAAGTGTGAACCACCGTGCCCAGCTGGTTTTCTGTTTCATACATCAGAGTCAACTTGTGAATACATTTAAAGATTATTTCATTTTGATATCACGAAGAAAAACAGGCTTTATATCTCAGACTTTAACTAAATCCAGTTAGACCTCAATTTTTCACTGTCAGATTAAATCCCCATACCTGAAAATAAGTTTAACATTTTTTTTTGCAAATGATCTATTGAATCAGATTTAAAATGAAGCATGCATTGAGTGTGCCAAGGAACTAAGTGGTCCATAGCAGCAGTAATGTTCATAGGGTGCGAGATGCCTGCTATGAAACAGCAACTCTCAAACATTTTTATCTCAAGACCATTTGTTTATGTGAGCTATATATATTATTATATTAAATATTAAATTTTTAAAATATTTATTTATGGGCCAGGCACGGTGGCTTACGCCTGTAATCCCAGCACTTTGGGAGGCTGAGGCAGGCGGATCACAAGGTCAAGTGATTGAGACCATCCTGTCCAACATGGTGAATCCCCGTCTCTACTAAAAATACAAAAAAAATTAGCTGGGTGTGGTGGCATGCGCCTGTAGTCCCAGCTACGTGGGAGGCTGAGGGAGGAGAATGGCTTGAACCCGGGAGGTGGAGGTTTCAGTGAGCCGAGATTGCGCCCCTGCACTCCAGCCTGGTGACGGAGCGAGACTCTTTCTCAAAAAAAAAAAATTATTCATTTAAAAATAACTTCTGGCTGGACATGGTGTCTCACGCCTGTAATCCTAGCACTTTGGGAGGCCAAGACAGGTGGATCACTTGAGCCCAGGAGTTTGAGACCAGCCTGGGCAACAAGGCAAAACTCTATCTATAAAAATTACAAAAATTAGTGCAGTAGCTCACACCTGTAATCCCAGCACTTTGGGACACTAAAGCGGGCAGATCACCTGAGGTCAGGAGTTCGAGACCAGCCTGGTCAATGTGGTGAAACCATGTCTGTACTAAAAATACAAAAATTAGCCTGGTGTGGTGGCACATGCCTGTAATCTCAGCTACTAGGGAGGCTGAGGGAGGAGAATTGCTTGAACTCAGGAGGCAGAGGTTGCAGTGAGCCGAGATTGCGCCACTGCACTCTAGCTTAGGCAACAGAGTAAGACCCTGCCGTAATAATAATAACTTTTTTTTTTTTGAGATAGAGTTTTGCTCTTTCCCCCAGACTAGAGTGCAATGGCGCGATCTTGGCTCACTGCAACTTGTCCCCCCGGGTTCAAGCGATTCTTCTGCCACAGCCTCCCGAGTAGCTGGGATTATAGGCGCCCACTACCACGCCTGGCTAATTTTTGTATTTTTAGTAGAGACGGGGTTTCGCCATGTTGGCCTGGCTGGCCTCTAACTCGTAACCTCAGGTGATCCGCCCGCCTTGGCCTCCCAAAGTGCTAGGATTATAGGCGTGAGCCACTGTGCCCAGCCAATAATAACTTATAAAACATGAAACGATTTAGTGAGAAAAGTGGCCGGTTTTTTGGGGGGAATTACTTTCTGTCATAAAGAAGATAGATGGGTTCTCATGTCTTCTACATTCAGTCTGTTGTGCAGTCACATATCATGTAGACTCTGGAAAACACCTCTGTATACTGGTGAAAGAATGAAAAGAA
The DNA here is from genome assembly GCF_000001405.40 of Homo sapiens. Taxonomy (NCBI): domain Eukaryota; kingdom Metazoa; phylum Chordata; class Mammalia; order Primates; family Hominidae; genus Homo; species Homo sapiens. Next base: position 24,002,895 of record NC_000002.12, read on the forward strand.
GCAAATAATGCCTTAGTATGATTATGAAAAACGTTTTGACTTCACAGTGCCCTGAATGGGTCTTGGGAATCTCCAGGGATCCCTCAGGCACACTTTGAGAACCAATCTATATAAAGTGATGGTTCACAATGATTCTGAAGCCTTAGTTTCAGAATCATTTGGGGCAGCTTTTCAAAAATGCCATTCCTGCCACCTACCACAAAGATTCTGATTCACTGTATCTGTGATGGGTCTCAGATCTCTGCATTTTTAATCTCACGTGATTCTTAAGTATGTGGTGGAAGTACCTTTCTTCAGGAAATTCTGTCCTAAGCTTTTACCCTGAGAAAATAAAACCTGCATGCTTTCACCATGGACGGTGGGAGACTCCACTGAAACACATCTGCTAGACCACTAAGTTTATCCTTGTCACCCAGTTTGCTCTTGGAAAGAGTCTGTTCCCTTTTGTCACTGAACCAATCATGACATAAACTTGTGCTTTACCTCCTATAGCACAGCCGAGACAAGGCTGGAACATTTAATTAAGGTTTTTACTAAGGACTCAGGAATAACAACAGGGAAATATCTATGTAACTAGATGACCTGACATAAAATCTATCTTCTGATTGCAGTCTATTGTGAGAATGCTGCTTTTCCTAGCTCCCAGCCTTCCATGGGGCAGAAGGCTCTTTTAATTAGGAAGAGAGGGAGGACAAAGGAGAGCCTTTTCTTTTGTCCATTACTCTTAGAAATGAACAGGTACATAATAGAAAATAAATAATTATTGTTGGTAATGTTTACACAGCAGTGTTAGAGCCTCTCTGTAGTGAAACAAAAATAATGTTCTTACCAAAAAAAAAAAAAAAAAAAAGAGGCAATGATAAAATCAATGAGCTTATCTTTCTGATATAGAAAATAACAGGATGACAGTTAATACATGTTCAGGAATCTAAGAAAATGTTTCATATAGGCCTATCATGTAGCATTTTTATTTGCATAATTATAGTCAACATATGATTCTCCATGTAGGGGTCTCTCATTGAGAATGTTTCCTGTGTACCTATAGAAAAGCCTCTTTGGTAGATTTTCCGGTTTATAATTATTTAACCAGAAGATACATGGGAGGTTCTTTTGTATGTACCTGTAGAATACATCCCAGTAAGGGTCCTATGGAGAAAGACCTGTTGTCATCAATAACCTTCATTATTCTAACTGTGAAACGTTCATTAATGCGAATAATATCCTCAAAGATTTTCTACAATGAGAATCATCCAGTAAAGCTTTTTAACTGAGAATTTAAAAGTTGTAAAATTGTTAGTTAAATGTGTATAATTATCAAAAGAGGTTGACTTTGGAAAACAAACAATTTGCTAAGGGAAGGAAAACTTGAAAATAATCACCTTAGATGGGGCATACAATTTGACCTAAGCAATTGTTTCAAAACTGTCTTCAGTTTCTTGAAAATAATTGTTAGGGCTGATATATAGAAATACATATCTAGGCCAGGCACGGTGACTCATGCCTGCAATCCCAGCACTTTGGGAGGCTGAGGTGGATGGATCACGAGGTCAAGAGATCGAGACCATCCTGGTCAACATGGGGAAACCCCGTCTATACTAAAAATACAAAAATTAGCTGGGTGTAGTGGTGTGCGCCTGTAGTCCCAGCTACTCAGGAGGCTGAGGCAGGAGAATCACCTGAGCCCCGGAGGCAGAGGTTGCAGTGAGCCGAGATCGTGCCACTGCACTCCAGCCTGGGCAACAGAGCGAGACTCCGTCTCAAAAAAAAGAAAAAAAGAAATACATATCTAATGTTACAGATTGTGGTTTATTGGTTAATTACTATGCATTTTTTTCAGTTTAAAAAATAATCTTATTTTATATACTTCTCTCGGTATAATTTTTCATGACATTTCAGCATGTTGATAATATGTGTGCATCTATTTCAGTGCCTTAAAGTATTTTGAGAGCAATCTTTTGCTGACAGTTGAAGAACTGTTAATGAAATACTGTTCATTAAAAGGATCTGTGAAATCATTTACCCTTGTTATAAAATAGTTATATGCAAATACACTTGTCATTTTATTTGGCAAAGTCATTCAGTTTGATAATCAACAAACATTTATTAGGTGCTTTTGCTTTAACCAACATTACTTTCATTTAATACTCAGAAATGTAAAGATGTGCTATTTTTGAATACTAACTCAATGATATGTTTAATTTTTCATTTATTCTTTGTGTTATCAGCTGAACTAGCATGAAGACTCTTTAGTAGGGTTTACTCCTTTGTTCTTTTCCTAAGTACAAACCATTTTATGAAAAAATTGCTCATTGCACTAAACCTTCAGATGGAAATGGCTTATTCAGTAGACCAGTATTTGGCTTTGTCATTTGTTTTAATGTATTTTTTGCACAGATAATTTATATTCATTATAGAAAACTATAATATGCAGATATGCTAAAATGATCCTTAAATCACCTATTATTCTGCCTTTCACATATAACCACTACTGGTCCTAGTGGTGCATGCCTGTTGTCCCAGCTATTCAGGAGACTGAGGCAGGAGGCTCGCTTGAGCCCAGAAGTTCTGGGGTATAGTGTGCTCTGCCAGTCGGTCAGGTGTCTGCACTAAGTTTGGCATCAATTTGGTGATCTCACTGGAACGGGGGACTACCAGGTTGCCCATTGGAAAAGGAGCAAGAACGAATGCTGATCAGTAGTGGTAGTACACCTGTGAATAGTTTAAAAAGTGAAAAAAAAAAAAGCCAGGCGCAGTGGCTCATGCCTGTAATCCCAGCAGTTTGTGAGGCCGAGGTGGGCTGATCACAAGATCAGGAATTCCAGACCAGCCTAGCCAACATGGTAAAACCCCGTCTCTATTAAAAATACAAAAATTAGCCAGGCATGGTGGCACGCGCCTGTAATCCCAGCTACTCGGGAGGCTGAGGCAGGAGAATCGCTTGAACCCAGGAGGCAGAGGTTGCAGTGAGCCGAGATCATGTGGCTGCACTCCAGCCTGAGCGACAGAGCAAGATTCTGTCTTGAAAAAAAGAAAAAGAAAAAAGTAAAAAATAAAAATTAGAAATTAAAAACTACTAGTAACATTTTGATGTGCATCCTTTCAGATATTTTTTAGTATATCAGCTTTTAGTCTTGTTTTAATTAAAAGGCAGCTGCCTTTGTTATTTAATCCTACTTTATTGAAATCTAATTTGTCTTTTGCATTAAAAATTACATTATGAACTTACCATCACTTTAAATAGAATACTGACTGTTAGGGAAATGACTTTTATTATAATTACATTTTTTGCTGTCCAAAAGAGTTATTGTTTAATTTTTTTTTTTTTTTTGAGATGGAGTTTCACTCTTGTTGCCCAGGCTGGAGTGCAATGGTGCGATCTCAGCTCACTGCAACCTCCACCTCCCAGGTTCAAGCGATTCTCCTGCCTCAGCCTCCCAAGTAGCTGGGATTACAGGAGCCCGCCACCACGCTTGACTAATTTTATGTTTTTTTAGTAGAGACGGGGTTTCGCCATGTTGGTCAGGCTGGTCTTGAACTCCTGACCTCAGGTGATCCACCCACCTCAGCTTCCCAAAGTGCTGGGATTACAGGTGTAAGCCACTGTGCCCAGTCATTTTTTAATTTTTAAAATTGTTTTTACCTGCTGCCTTTCAAACTTAAAATTGCAGTAGTATAAACAACAAAGTACAAGTGTTGAGAATGCAATATTTCCAAACCTTTTAAAAATGCGTATCAGTAGGATGTACTTGAAAGTAGATTGATTATCTAGCTGAACACAGTGGCTCACGCCTGTAATCCCAACACTTAGGGAGGCAGAGGCAGGAATAAAGCTTGAGCCCAAGAGTTCGAGACCAGTCGGAGAAACATAGCAAGATCCTATTCTCCACAGAAAGGAAAAAAAAAAAAAACCCACAAATTGTAAAAGTAGATTATCTAAAGAAACTTTGGCTTTAGTTTATATTTAATTTCCAAGGAATTAAATATTTAGCACATGCATTATCTAATCTATCCTTGTATTTGCAATCAGGGAAACAAAATGTACCCATTTTGTAGATTAAGGAATTAAGACATATAAAATGGAATGACTTGCTCTAAACTGGGTAGTGTATCCTTTAGGATTAGATTTAGCTGTGACAGAAAATCCAGAATAATAGTTGCTTACAAGGTCAAATTTTATTTCCCATGCAAAAGTCCAGAGGGAAGCAGTTCAGGGCTGGTAGATCAACCTCATAAAATCATCAGATTCCTGTACTGTTGATCTGCCAATCTCATCACTCTGTAGACTTGGGGTCTCAGGGTAGCTGCACTAGCACCAGCCGACACATTTGTATTTCAGCCAATAGGAAGAAGCAGATATCTTTCCTTTTAAACAGCTTTATTGAGATGTAATTCACATGCTGTGCAATTCACCCATTTAAAGTATACAATTCAGGCTAGGCCGATGGCTCACTGTAATCCCAGCACTTTGGGAGGCCGAGGTGGATCACCTGAGGATCAGGAGTTCAAGACCAGCCTGGCCAACATGGTGAAAGCACATCTCTACTACAAATACAAAAATTAGCCGGGAGTGGTGGCACATGCCTGTAATCCCAGCTACTCGGGAGGCTGAAACAGGAGAATCACTTGAACCCGGGAGGTGGGGGTTGCAGTGAGCCGAGATCGTGCCCCGGCATTCCAGCCTGGGCAACAAGACTCTGTCTCAAAAAAATAAATAAATAAAAATAAAGTATACAATTCAATGGTTTTTAGTGTATTTATAGGGTTGTGCAACCATCACAATTTAACTTTAGAAAATGTTTGTCCATTCTAAAACCTCACATGCCTTAGCAGTAACTCCCTAGCCCAGTCCCAAGCAACTACAAATGTACATTCTGTCACTCTCTATTTGCCTATTCTAGACATTTGACATAAATGGAATAATACAATTTGTAGTCTTGTGACTGGCTTCTTTTACTTAGCATACTGTCATCAAGGTTCATCTGTGTTGTAGCATGCATTGGTCCTTCATTCCTTTTTCTTGCCCAACAGTAGTCCATTGTATGGATATACCACATTATATTTATTCATTCATAACCTGATGGACATTGGCTTGTGTCCTCTTTGGCATATATATATACACACACACATTATATATATATGTATATATATATGAATGCTGCTAATGAACATTCATGTTCAAGATTTTATGTGAACATGTTTTCATTTCTGTAGGGTGTATACACCTAAGAGTGGAATTGCGGGTCATGTGGTAATTCCACGTTTTACTTTGAGAAACTGCCAAACTTTTCCAAAGGACTGTCACTAGTTTCCATTCCCACTAGCAGTGTATAGGGGTTCTGATTTCTCCACATCCTCCCCAATACTTGTCTCATTTTAATTACAGCCACCCTGTGGATATGAAATGGTGTCTCACTGTAGTTTCGATTTGTATTTCCATGTGCTTACTGTTCATTTGTATATCTTTAGAGAAATATCCAAATTCTTTGCCCATTTTAGAATTGGATTGTCTTTTAATTGTTGAGTTGTGAAAGTTGATTCCAATACAAATCCCTTTTCTCCCATTCTGTGGGTTGTCTTTATACCCACTTGTTGGAATCGTTTACAGCACAAAGGTTTTCATTTTGAAAACTTTTGTAGTTCATCCAGCTTGTGCTTTTGGCGTCCTAAGAAACAATTGCCTGGCCCAATATGATGAAGAGTTGCTTCTGGGTTTTTTGTGTTTGGTTGGTTTTGTTTTTGTTTTTGTTTTTGAGACAGAGTCTCCCTCTGTCACCCAGGCTGGAATGCAGTGGCACGATCTTGGCTCACTGCAATCTCCGCCTCCCGGGTTCAAGCGATTCTCCTGCCTCAGCCTGCCGAGTAGCTGGGATTACAGGCATGAGCCACCGTGCCTGTCCCTTGCTCCTGTTTTTTCATAAGTTTTACATTCTAGGTCTATGATGCATTTTTAGTTAATGTGTACCCCTGTTACTGGTGGAAGGTATCTGAGTCACGTGGCACCAAAATATGTCAGCAGGAGTGAATCTATATGGGTCTGCAGCAACCTCAGTTCCTGCCTCCTCAGAAGAAAGAATTCCACTGAGGGGCATAAGGCAGAAGGAGAGACTGAGGCAAGTTTTAGAGCAGGAATAAAAGTTTATTAAAAAGCTCTACAGCAGAAATGGAAGGAAGGAAAGTACACTTGGAAGAGGGCCAAGCGGGTGACCTGAAAAAGAAGCGCACAGTTTGACCTTTTGACCTGGGGTCTTATGCATTGGCATACTTCTGGGGTCTTGCATCCCTTCTCCCCTGATTCTTCCCTTGGGAGGCCTGCCTGCATGGGCAGTGGTCTGCCAGCACTTGGGAGGGGAGTGTGCACACTGTGTATACTGGAGTTGTACCCATGCTCACTGGAGGCGTTCTTCCCTTACCAGTCCGGTGTCCTTCGAGGGTCACATGTCAGTTAAACTCCGCAATTTGTGTAAGCCCACTTGCCCAGCTCCTGAGATCTTACCGAGAAGCTGATCACCAGTTTCAGGTTTTCTCTATCTATTGGGAGACTGCCTTTCCCTGGCCCCGCTGGATCAATGATCATTTTAGAGGGAGCATAACAACCGCCTGACTGTCGCCTGATGGTTGCCTGACGTACCTGGTTGGAAGCGTGGCCCTCTCCTGCCCTTTTCGAGGCTGACTAGCTACCTGCTGTCACCCCCCTTCCCTTTTAAGGACTTTTCTGGAATGTTGGCCTGTGCCACCTGCTTTTATTCGCTGGCCAGAACTTAGTTACTGGCCATCCCCGTGGTCTGTATAGGAGACTCGACAATGTATATTTCAGGCGTTGGGCATCATGTGTAGCCGGCGGAATGCCTGTTCAGCCATGGTCCAGCCTGAACGAGCGGGCCTCTTGCTTCATTTTGCAGGGGAGCTGCTGCTTGCCCGCGGTCACCCCAGCGGTCTGGCGGAGCCCTTAGCGCGCAGGGCCGCCGTCTGCGGGCGCTCACGCCCCCGGGGATCCACCCCAAGGAGAACGGTCCTGAGGGCCTGCCGGGCCTTTCCCCCCGCGGATTTTGGTTCTTCGCTGTTTCCCTTTGGGGTGCCCTTCGCGGTTTCTGCGTTTCCCCCGCGTTGCCAGCAGCCACTCGCGCCGCGCCCCTAGCCCAGAACCGCCCCTCCCAAGGGCGATAACCCCGAGGGCAACGGCCGCGGGCGGCGCTGCGGTGGCAATGGCGGCGCCCCCTGCACCAGCCGCCAAGGGGTCCCCGCAGCCGGAGCCGCACGCCCCAGAGCCCGGCCCGGGGAGCGCCAAGCGAGGGCGAGAGGTGAGCGGGGCGGCGGGGACCGGGAAGGGGCTGCGTCCTCGGGGAGCTCCAGGGCGTCGCCTCGCAGCCCCTTTTCCAGCTGGGGGCAGCCCGGAGGGGCTCGGCCCAAACCTGCCAGCTCAGGGGCTGCCCTCGCGGGGTTACACGGCTGGGAGCGGGGAGGCTGGTAGGTGCCGGCGCCGGAAAGAGACTAGGACGGGAAGCCTAGCCCTAGCCAAGGAAGTAACTTGGGGATGCGTGGTCATTGCTGTCCTGATTCCCGGCTTAGGGGTCTTGTCCGTGCCACCGCAGGTCCTCCCGGGGTCCCCGAGCTCTGGGCAGGCAGGGCTTTCTGAAGCGCCTGGGGAGGCTGCGTCCTTCCCGACCTCAGGCAGCTGCTGTGGCCTCGGCCTCCCTCCCAGACCCTGGCCTCGCCCAGGCACCAGGCTCCCCTTGGAGGCAGCCTCAGGGAAGGTCCTGGCCATGGGCTCCGACAAGAAGGGAGGAGGGCAGGTGGGAGCGGCGGGGTCTTCGGGGCCCCTTGTCCCTTGCCCGATGCCGCCGGGCCGTGCTGGCCAGTGGGGCTGTGCTGGACGGAGCAAGGGGCCTGGGGCTTCCTGGGCCTCACTGAACGCGCCTGCTCCCTGCTCGTGCCCAGGGCATTCTGTGGCCTCCCCTGACCACCTCAGCCCCCAGCCTGTTCAGGGCTTCCTACGAGGCACCTGGGAGCACAGGATTGCATCCCACAAGAAAGTGAGGTGAGATGAAGGGGCTCTCCGGGGACTCTCACTTCCCAGGGAAACTTAGAAATTCAGGGTGAGATTAACAGCAAGAGGGAAACACTCGCATTGCTGATGAAGTTCCGGCGTGGAATCCTCTTACGACTCTCCGAGGGGTGGCAGCCCCGGTCACTCCAAGGAGACCGAGGTGCCCTGCCCTGGGTCACGCAGCTAGAGATAGCAGGGCTGCGCCCCTCGCCCGGAGCCGCCCCTCCCAAGGGGCTTCTCCTTGTACAGCTCACTGTACAGCTGTACCGGGCTTTTATGACTTTCGGTAAAACTGTCATCCTCAAGACGGCAAGATGGGATCATATCCCTGGCTTCACTTGGAAGTTCTTTCTAAAGTTCTAAAAACTTGCTAGGCCTGTTTTGGGGGATACAAGAGTCCCCATTAGGGGGAGAGGGGGACTGTCACGTTGAATTCTGCCTGTTCTTAAAGTTTTCTGGAAGCTGAAATGATGTTCACACAAATGTCAGAAAAGAATCATCCTGCCCCCAGTGTGGTTTTCCCCTGTGGGTAGGAAGAGTGTGCAAAGTGTGATAAACCCTTATCTGGGGAGACCTTCCCTTCACAAGAGCCTGCTGGGGTGTCCTGCAAGATGTGGAAATGGGTGAAGCCATGTCATCTCCACTCCCTCCAGCCCCCAGCAAACGATGAGAAAAGAGCCCAGCTTCTTCCAAAGAAACAGCACTTTACACAGGGTCTTCATGGCCATTTATTGCTTCAACGGATATATACTAAGCACCTACTGTATACCAAGCTTTGTTCTAGGTACTGGAAACACCATGATAAATAAAAGGTGGAGTTCATGCTCTCAGAGAGCTTACATTCCTGTAGGGAGAGGCAGGAACTAAATGAAAATATAGCAGGCGGTAAGTACAACTGAGAGAGGTGAGAGGTTAGGGAATGCCTCTTGGAGGAGGTGACATTTAAGCTGGTGACATCAAACCAGAATGACAAGGAGTCACCTTCCAGGCAGAGGAATGGGAAGGGCAAAGGCCCTGAGGCAGCAACAGACTTGATGATTTTGAGGAATAGGAAGGAGCCCGGCGTGGCTGAAGGAGAGCTATTTGAGGTGAGGTGGGTAGGGGGCCGACTGGGTGGACTCCTTAGCCATGATCAGGACTTGGAGTTTTATTCAAACTGCAATGGTATTGACTGAATACCATGGATCTGGAAACAAACAAACAAACAAACAAAACACACACACACACACACACACACACACAAAAACAGACAAAAAAACCCTGCAATAGCAAGCCATTGGAGAGTTTTAATCAGAGAGGAGATGGGATCTGATTATTTATTTATTTATTTATGACTGAGTCTCTGTCACCCAGGCTGGAGTGCAGTGGTGTGATATTTGCTCACTGCAACCTCTGCCTCCCTGGTTCAAGCAATTCTCTTGCCTCAGCCTCCTGAGTAGCTGGGATTACAGGCGGCCACTATGCCTGGCTAATTTTTGTGTTTCTAGTAGAGATGGGGTTTTGCCATGTTGGGCAGGCTGGTCTTCAACTCCTGGGCTCAAGCAATCCACCTACCTCGGCCTCCCAAAGTGCTGGGTTTATAGGGATGAGCCACTGTGCGATTTATGTTATTACAAGAGCACTGGCTGCTGGGTGGAGTGGATTGTAGGGAGCAAGGGCAGACACAGAAGCCACTTAGGAGGCATTCACTGATAGACAAGAACTGGAAAGAAGAATAGATGACTCCTAAGTTTGTGGCCTGAGCCACTGAGGGGACCAGCGGTGCCATTTGCTAGGAGCTGGATTAGACAATGGAATGGCCATCAGGAGCTGTATGTAGACCATGCTAAGCTGAGACGCCTGCCAGGCATCCCTGGAGGGCTGTGGGTAGGCAGGCTATGGGTAAATGAGCTATCGCCTCATTTACTCATCGAAGAAACAACTTTGTGAAGTTGGCAGGGATGTTGCATTTGACAGATGAGGAAAACAGGCTTAGAGAGATGATGTGATTTATTCAAGGTCACATAGAGGGGTAGGTGACAAAGGCAGGCTCAAGCCCAGGTCTCCTGACCTGCAGCTTACACGGCCGTGCTGACTCAGTAAATGATGGCGGCTTCAGCAGGAAGCCCAGGGTAAGATGTCCAGAAGAACTTCCCCCCTGGAAATGTTTAGAGGTCAGGGTTTAGGATCTTTTTTCTCTTCGTCTCACTTCCTCTTAGGATGACATGGGGGCAAAATGGGGCTGAGAGGTTGCTGGAAAAGCCCTGAAGACATCACAGAGACTCAGGATGTTTACTGAAGTCATGGGGTGTGGGGACCTGTTTTGTGTCTGTTGGGAGAAGGGCTTAGTTCCTGTGTCTCCTCCAGGACAGCAGAGCCGGTCGCCTCTCATTCTGTACAAAGGTGTGCTATGGCATTGGTGGGGTCCCCAACCAGATAGCCTCCAGCGCCACAGCCTTTTACCTGCAGCTTTTCCTGCTTGATATAGCACAGGTAAGTGTGGGCAGTAGCCCAGTCTCTGCTGGCATCTTCCTTGGGGTCTGGTCCTTCCACCCCCACCTCTGCTTCTGCTCCCACTATCCTTGTAGACAGCACTTCTGACACGAGCTCAACAAAAAGCCAGAAGCCAATGAGGGCAAGGTACTCAAGAATGTTTACTGCAGCCTGTTTGTAGTGGGAAAATGAGAAACAATGTAGATCCCCGACAATATAGAAGCAGTTGGCTAAGTAAGCTGTATCATAGCCACATAATAGACCAAGCCTGTCCAACCCGCGGCGGGACGGCTTTGAATGCGGCCCCACACAAATTTGTAAACTTTCTTAAAACAGTATGAATTTTTTTGTTTTTTTTTTTTTTTAGCTCATTAGCTATCATTAGTGTTAGTGTATTTTATGTGTTTATATGTGGCCCAAGACGATTCTTTTTTTTTTTTTTTTTTTGAGACAGAGTCTCACTCTGTTGCCCAGGCTGGAGTGCAGTGGTGTGATCTTGGGGCTCACTGCAACCTCTGCCTCCCAGGTTCAAGCGATTCTCATGCCTCAGCCTCCCGAGTAGCTGGGATCACAGGTGCACACCACCACACTCGGCTAATTTGTTGTTTGTTTTTTTTTTTGAGATGGAGTCTCGCTCTGTCACCCAGGCTGGAGTGCAATGGCATGATCTCGGCTCACTGCAACCTCTGCCTCCCGGGTTTAGCAATTCTCCTGCCTCAGCCTCCAGAGTAGCTGGGATTACAGGTGTGTGCCATCATGCCTGGCTAATTTTTTGTATTTTTAGTAGAGACAACAGTTTCACCATGCTGGCCAGGCTGGTCTTGAACTCCTGACCTCGTGATCCACCCACCTCAGCCTCCCAAAGTGCTGGGATTATAGACGTGGACCACCGCGCCCAGTCTACAGCTAATTTTTGTGTTTTTAGTAGAGACGGGGTTTCGCCATGTTGGCCAGGCTGGTCTCGAACTCCTGATCTCAGGTGTTCCATCCACCACAGCTTCCCAAAGTGCTGGGATTACAGGCGTGAGCCACCGTGCCTGGCCAAGACAATTCTTCTTCTTCCAGTGTGGCCCACAGAAGTCAACAGACTACACTAACATCACTATCAAATAGACTATCATGCAGCCATTCAAAATAATGATCTATACCAGTTGACTTAGAGTGATTTCCATGATGCTCTGGTGAAAAAGAAAAGTTAGTTTTAGAGAAGAGTATATAAAATGATCCCATTTTAACAAAACAAAGACAGGCTCCATATGTGTGTGTGTGGATGGATATGTATATATACATATGTATCTGTCCATGTTTAAAATGTGAGCATGGAGAAAATTCTAGAAGGATATACACCAACTCGTTAATGTTGGCTACCGGAGGGAATGATGGAGAATGGAGGGTAAGTAAAACCAAATTTTTAAAATGAGGTATCCAGCCGAGCATGGTGGCTCACAGCTGTAATCCCAGCACTTTGCGAGGCCGAGGAGGGAGGATCACTTGAGGTCAGGAGTTCAAGACCAGCTTGACCAATATGGTGAACCCCATTTCTACTAAATATACAAAAATTAGCCAGGCGTGGTGGCACACGCCTGTAGTCACAGCTACTCAGGAAGCTGAGGCAGGATAATTGCTTGAACCCAGGAGGTGGAGGTTGCAGTGAGCTAAGATTGCACCACCACATTCCAGCCTGGGCGACAGAGCAAGACTCCCTCTCAAAAACAAAACAAAAACCAACAACAAAAAAATGAGGTATCCAGCCGGGTATGGTGGCTCACACACCCAGCACTTTGGGAGGTCAAGGCGGGAGGACCGTCTAAGCTCAGGTGTTCAAGACCAGCCTGGGCAACATGGCAAAACTCCACCTCCACAAAAAAAAAAAAAATTTAAAAATACAAAAATTAGCTCGGTGTAGAGGAACGTGCCTGTGGTCTCAGCTACTTGGGAGGCTGAGGTGGGAGAATCACCTGAGCCCAAGAGGCAGTGGTTGCAGTGAGCCGAGATGGTGCCACTGCACTCCAGCCTGGGCAACAGAGCGAGGCCCTGTCTCAATTAAAAAATAAAATAAAATAATAAAATGAGGTATCCACGAATGTTTAAGATGACAGTCTGATATGATCCCATTTATATAAACTGATCAATCTCAAGCACACATGAAGAAGCCTATGAAAGGCTGATCATCCAAACGATTCTGGCAGTTGTCTTGGGATGCTGCGATTTCAGATGAGCTTTGCTTAGTATTTTCCTGCATAGTTTGAGTGTTTTTCTAATAAGTGTATTATTTACATAGTCAGAAAAAACAATGCATCCTTTCCATTGTGAAACACAGTGTCCACCTCTGTCAGCCCAGAGGCACCCTCCTTGCTCTGAGCCAGAATGTTTTTCTAATGAGTGTATTATTTACATAGTCAGAAAAACCAGTGAATCCTTTCCATTGTGAAACACAGTGTCCACCTCTGTCAGCCCAGAGGCACCCTCCTTGCTCTGAGCCAGCCCCAGATGAGGGCCCTGGAGTCCTCTCCGCAGTGGCTGACATGAGTACTAATGGGAGTGTGCAGGGCGGCAGCACTCAGCTCCCTCCCCTGGACTCAGCCCCGGGATCAGCATCCTGGGGAAGGCTGAGGAGCCCTTGACACTGTGGCTCTGCCCTCCGGTCCCGGTTCCCAGGCCTCCCTCTTGATGGCAAGCAGGCCTGGATGGGCTCTCTGCTGCTGCTGGGCCTCAGCTCTCTATCCCCTCCCCTGTCTGTTTCAGATCCCTGCCGCCCAGGTGTCACTTGTTCTGTTTGGGGGAAAAGTGTCTGGGGCGGCTGCTGACCCTGTGGCTGGGTTCTTCATCAACAGGAGCCAGAGGACAGGGTCTGGACGGCTCATGCCTTGGTGAGCAACCGCTCAGTCCTTAGGATCCAGGCACCTGGTCCTGGCCCTGAGGTCACTGTTTGTCACAGCCCTATTTCCTAGCAGAAACCCACTGGGTGGTTAGGAGACAAGACTGGATAATATCGCAGGTGCACTGGGGACTGACTGTGAGTGATAAGGAGTTCAGAGACATTCTTGGGGACTCTCCCTCCCCAGATGGCACGGGGCTGGATGAAGCCTCCAAGACTCCCAGGCCTGGCCTGGGGCACTGAGTGTGGGAAGGCTGGGCTGAAGGCCATGCGAGGCCTCACGGAGGAAGTACAGCTCAGTGTCCCAATGTCCACACAGGGAAGGGCACCAGCAGCGCTGAGAGTGCAGCTGGAGCTCCCACGAGGAGTGGCCGCCCATTCCCCACTGCCTCCATGACCCATCGGCCACTTCTCCCCTGCTCCTGGCTCCCACCCAGGGCGCCCCAGCCTAGGGATTCTCAAGGGGCAGAGAAGGGGTGGGGTTCCTCCAGGCTGGGCCCTTTGTGTTCCCCTGTCTGGGTCGGGGGGCCGCTCCACCTCGGCTGTGCTTCCGCAGGGTGCTGGGCTGCACCCCCTTCATCGCCCTGGCCTACTTCTTCCTGTGGTTCCTGCCCCCCTTCACCAGCCTGCGAGGCCTCTGGTACACGACTTTCTACTGCCTGTTCCAGGCCCTGGCCACGGTAAGCAGGGCCCCTTCCTGGGCCTGTGCTCTGGCGAAGCCCATTGCTGGCCATGGCCACTCTGAAGTGTGCTGTGGGGGCAGGGCTGCCGCCCTCCCCACCCGCCTGTGCCTGGACCATGCCATTGGCACTCGCCAGCCTTGCGCGGGACTGGCTGCCCCCTCCTGCCTTTGGGACCCTAGCTCCGACTTCAGGTGGCCAGCTGGGATATGTCACGTTGGCCTGTGGGTGTCGGGATGTGACACCCAGGATGGGGGAGGTCGCCCGCTGTCACCAGGCAAAGCTGGGGGCGGTTCTAAGCTCTGCCGACGCCCCAGTTCTTCCAGGTGCCCTACACAGCGCTCACCATGCTGCTGACTCCCTGCCCAAGGGAGCGGGACTCGGCCACCGCCTACCGTGAGTGCAGCCGTGGGTTTCGGGTTCCAGGGAGGCAACTGCCCCTGGGACCCCACTCCCTCTCAGTCACCTTAAGTGGCACTCTGTCTCCAGGGATGACTGTGGAGATGGCGGGAACACTGATGGGGGCCACTGTCCACGGGCTCATCGTGTCCGGCGCCCACAGACCCCACAGGTGCGAGGCCACTGCGACCCCGGGGCCAGTCACTGTCTCCCCGAATGCAGTAAGTGCACTGGGTGGCAAGGCCCCCCAACCTGGGGTCCCCTCTGCAGGGTCACCTCCTTCCTCTAGGGCTGGTTCTCCCGTCCACACCACTTTGTTGTCTTTTAGGGGGCTCACTGTGCCCCCTCATTCCTTCCCTGCTCCTCCAGTTGAGCAGATGGCCCCCAAATCTAACGTCCTCTGCTAAACCTGCCTCCTTCTGGGTTCCTTCTAGACATAAAATAGAATAGACACTGGGCCAGCCACCTGGAGCAGAGGAGGCCAGCCCCAGAGGAGGGGCGAGGGTGGGGAAAGCCGCAGGACAGGCTAGGGGAGGGGGCAGCAGAGGGGTCTGCTGTCCTCGCAGAGCCCTGGGTAAAGCCCTTCCTATGACCCATGCCCCCTCCCCCAGCCCTGACCAGGTGAGCCCCCAACCCGCAGCATGAAATGGTGAAATGAGAGGGGGAAGCCCCCTTCCTTCCCTTTCACGGCGGGTCCCTTCAGCACTGGGCGGACACACCTCTATTTTATCCACCACATTTACCTTCTCTTTTTCCATGTCCCCCTTTCCTTAAGTAAATGACATTACCATCCTCCAGCACTGTCCTCTTCTTCTCCTCCCCTCTCTCAACTCTCCAACCTATGACCGAATCCTGCCCATTTTTTAGGCCAAAAGTCTTCTGGGATGCATCCAGCCACCCTGCACCCCACTGCCATGCCCCGGCCCGTGCCACTACCTCCCTCTCCACCCCACAACTGCTGCCTCCGCCTCTTACACGGCATCCCATCCTTGCCTTCTGCCACCTCCCTGTGCGGTCAGGTGCCCTTTGAAAGGAGTTTGAGCAATGTTCATCCTCATTGCCTCCTGTTCTGCCCACGATCCCCTCCCCCAAGATACTCTTTGTGGGGAAGAGGGGCTGGGGCAATGCAGGCTGGGTGACCGACTACCCCAGTCCCAGGGAAGGTGGGGCCCTGCCTCTAGGATGCTGCAGCAGAGTGAGCAAGGGGGCCCGAATCGACCATAATGGGTGTAGGGGCCACCTCCTCCCCCTGTTCTGTTGGGGAGGGGTAGCCATGATTTATCCCAGCCTGGGGCTCCCCCTCTGGTTTCCTATTTGCAGTTACTTGAATTAAAAAAAATCCTTTTCTGGAAAAAAAAAAAAAAAAGGAGTTTGAGCATGGGTGGCCCTCGCCTTCAGGACTGGGCATGGGCTGCCCTCCGCAGCCTTCATGTAGGCCTCTCCTCTGTGTGCTCTGAAACCTGCTGTGTTGGCCTTTTGTGCTTTTTTTTTTTTTTTTTTTGAGACGGAATCTCGATCTGTTGCCCAGGCTGGAGTGCAGGGGCGCAATCTCGGCTCACTGCAACCTCCGTCTCCCGGATTCAGGCCATTCTCCTGCCTCAGCCTCCTGAGTAGCTGGGATTACAGGCATGCGCCACCACGCCTGGCTAATTTTTGTATTTTTAGTAGAGATGGGGTTTTGCCATGTTGGCCAGGCTGGTCTCAAATTCCTGACCTCAGGTAATCCGCCCGCCTCAGCCTCCCAAAGTGCTGGGATTACAGGCGTGAGCCACCGCGCTCGACCTGTGCTTGTTTTTAAGTTAATATTTCAGATTTACACAAAGGCAGAGAGGCACAGATCTTAGTGTGGTCCCTGGACCAGCAGCATCAGCAACACCTGGAACCTTGTTAGAAAGGTAGATCCTCAGGCCCTACCTCAGTCCTCTGATTCACTAATTCTAGGGACCGGGCCCAGCAATCTCTATGTTAACAAGCCCTCCCGGGGATTCTGCCCCCACCAATGTCTCAGCATCAATAGTATGAGAAGAATACCAGTAATATCTGTGGCCCACCACCCATTCAAGAAAATGTTACAGCCAGGTGCGGTGGCTCACGCCTGTAATCCCAGCACTTTGAGGGGCCGAGGTGGGTGGATCATTTGAGGTCAGGAGTTCAAGACCAGCCTGGCCAACATGGTGAAACCCCATCATTACTAAAAATACAAAAATTAGCCGGGCATGGTGGCAGGCACCTGTAATCCCAGCTACTTGGGAGGCTGAGGCAGGAGAATCACTTGAACCCAGGAGGCAGAGGTTGCAGTGAGCAGGGATCACGCCATTGCACTCCAGCCTGGGCAATCACCTTGCCTATGTACTCTGCAAAATGAAAATGAAGGGCCTTGGAAAGTCAATCTCCCCTTTCCCAATGCACCTACTGCCCCAGCCAGGGGATTGCAGCCTCCAGCACTGGCACCCTCTAGGTGTCCACTAAGCACCTGGATTGGGATAGGTGAGAGGCCCCCACCCTCCGAATCCACACGCTGCTGCTGGCCAAGGGCCAGAAGGCTGTATCCTAGACTGACTCTCCCTGCACTCACATCTGCGCCCCCATTCAGGCCTCCCATGCCTCTCTCCAATGCCAATGCCATCTCCTCAGGTGGAGCAGAGCTACCTGGCCCTGTTCTGTACACATGCCTCCCAGCTACACGACCACGTCCAGGACCTGGTGCTAGCTGTCCTGGTGAGGGGGCCTGGGGTGGTGGAGGCTAGGTCACTTGGGGCCCTGAGCTGGGGACATGTGTGGTCCTTGATGTGACACAAGGGTTGGGGAAGGGAAAGTATCAAGGAGTGGGGAGCAGGAGGCTGAGAACCCATGCCCAGGGGGCAGAGCCTCATGTGAGCAGAGACTGGATGCTCTTGGTGGCTCACAACCCACTGTCCCATCAGATTTCACTTACAAAATTGAAATCCATTATAAAATTATTAAGAATCTCAAGACAGCAACAGCAGAGCATTGAACCCCAGAGGCAGTGCCCTCCAGAGCATGAGGCCCAGGGCGGTTGCACAGGATGAGTGCCCTGCCCCACCCTGCGCCCTCCCTCTCCTCCCCTCCCCAGAGGCAGCCTCTGTCCCGAACTGGCTGTGACTCTCGTGCATGTCTTTATAGGCATTTTAATGCATATGTATTCTTCTCTGAATGACAAGTAGCACTGTCCTGCTTCCTATATATACAGAGGCAGGGTCTTACTCTGCCACCCAGGCTGGAGTGCAATGGTGCAATCACAGCTCACAGCAACCTCGACCTCCCAGACTCAAGCGATTCTGCCACCTCAGCCTCCCTAGTAGCTGGGACTGCAGGTGCATGCACACCACCACACCTGGCTAATTTTTGTATTTTCTTTGGTAGATATGGGGTTTTGCCATGTTGCCCAGGCTGGTCTTGAACTCCTGGGTTCAAGGGATCCACCTGCCTCAGCTTCCCAAAGAGCTGGAATGACAGGCATGAGCCACCGTGCCTGTCCCTGCTTCCTATATTAATTTTTTATTTTTATTTTTTATTTTTCCTTTTGAGATGAGAGTCTCGCTCTGTCGCTTAGGCTGGAGTGCAGTACTGTGATCTCGGCTCACTGCAACCTCCATCTCCCCAGTTCAAGTGATTCTCCTGCCTCAGCCTCCTGAGTAGCTAGGATGACAGGCACCCGCCACCACACCCAGCTAAATGTTTGTATTTTTAGTAGAGATGGGGTTTCACGATGTTGGCCAGGCTGGTCTGGAACTCCTGACCTCAAATGATCCACCCACCTTGGCCTCCCAAAGTGCTAGGATGACAGGCATGAGCCACCGCGCCCGGCCCTGCTTCCTCCATTAATCTGAGTCACCATGCATCTCACCGTGCTGTAACCACCTGCTCCTGGATCTGTCTTCCTCCCCACACTCTGAGCCCTGTGGATGGACAGGGCTCACTTATTCATCATTGGAGCCTCAGGGCCTGGCATGCGGAAGGCAGCAGCAGTCAATGTTTGCTTCATAGAATGTGGGAAGGAGCACTTTGGCTCCTGGGGCATGTGTCCTCTTTGCCATGCAGGGAACACAGGGTCAGCAGAGGGGGTGTGTGGAAGGACCAGCCCGGGCCCGGAGAGCATGCTGTCCTGTGGGGTGATTGGGAGGTGGGGACCCAGCGTCCTGGGCTTGGGTTGTGCCTCCCTCCGCTCCCACTGGGAGGCAGTACTGCCCTGCCCCTCCGGTGTCACCACCTCCAGGGGTTGAAGACATCACCCATCCCAGTCCTGTCCTGTCCCACAGGCCCATCTCTACTGCATTGCGGCTGCCGTGGTTGTAGTGACTTACCCCGTGTGCATCAGTTTACTGTGCCTAGGGGTGAAGGAGCGGCCAGGTATGGGGTTTGGTGAGGAGGGAAGCAGAAGCTGGGGGCAGGGCTCTGCTTGGGGGCAGGTTTTGCTTTTGAACTCTGCGAAGCCAAGGTGACACGCTTCTGCGTTGCAGACCCCTCTGCCCCAGCCTCAGGCCCAGGCTTGAGTTTCCTGGCTGGGCTGAGCCTCACTACCCGGCACCCACCCTACCTGAAGCTGGTGATCTCCTTCCTGTTCATCTCTGCTGCTGTTCAGGTACCTCTGGCCAGCTGCCCCCGACAGGCTTGGTGCTGGCCATGCTGACCTTGCATAGGTTCAGGGTGCAGTCTTGGCTTGAGTTTTATAGGGAGAAACCTGCGGCTGGCACATGGCTCAGAGGGGCTGGTGCCGGGAGGGAGATCCCGGTAGGGCTTGTGGGAATGGAGGGCCAGGGCCTGGGCACTAGGAGGCTGACAATGTCTGGGCGGTTTCCTCTCACATTACCTGAAGTGTAGTCAAGTCCACCTGATCACAGCTGAGCAGGTGATGAGGGTGGCCTAGGAGTGGTGTTTGTATCTGTGTTGGGGATAAGTGTCCTTTGTGGGGGAAGGGACTGTATGATGGTAGCAGCAAGCCAAGGTCCCAATGGAGATGCCAGACTCCAGACCCTGTCCTTGCCCTTGACTTCTGAGCTCCTGCCATGCCCTGCACATACCCACTTCCTGTCCATCTCCTCAGGTGGAGCAGAGCTACCTGGTCCTGTTCTGTACACATGCCTCCCAGCTACACGACCACGTCCAGGGCCTGGTACTAACTGTCCTGGTGAGGGGGCCTGGGGTGGTGGAGGCTAGGTCACTTGGGGCCCTGAGCTGGGGACATGTGTGGTCCTTGATGTGACACATATGGCCAGAGTTCTGGTGGTCAACATTTTGGACTTTGCTTTGGTCTTGGTCACCTGCATTCCAGCAGAGGGTAGAATTGGGGCCAGGATTACAACATTCATAGCCACCGGTTTGAACCAGGGGCAAGGCCAAGGTCAGGCATCCAATCTAAAAGCCAAGGCCTTGGGGTCCCAGGCAAAGGCGCTGGCAGCACGGCCCTGGCGTGACGATGCTGTCTGCTCACAGGTCTCAGCCGTGCTGAGCACCCCGCTGTGGGAGTGGGTTCTCCAGCGCTTTGGGAAGAAGACGTCAGCCTTTGGGATCTTTGTGAGTGAGGCGGGAATCAAGGATTGGGGGTGGCCGGAGGGGAGAGGTGAGCGAGGTGACCTTGGTGCCTGAGCCTCCTGGGGCCAGCAGGGGTGGATCTGTGTTCCCTTGAGTCTTTAGGGCCTAGCACAGGGCAAGGCATGGGGGTCGTCAGTCGAGTCGTGTGTGAAGGAGCAGGCCCCACGAAGAAGCAGGTGGCGGGACAGCTGGTGTGTGTGTCTCCCCAGGCGATGGTGCCCTTTGCGATCTTGCTGGCTGCTGTGCCCACAGCACCTGTGGCATATGTCGTGGCCTTTGTATCTGGCGTGAGCATTGCTGTGTCCTTGCTGCTACCCTGGTAGGCTGGGTGTGGGGGCCTCACGTGTGTCCACAGTGGGTGTCACCTCCTTCATGTAAACCTGCCGTCCCAGGCCCCCTGCACCCAGCCTGTGCAGGAGATGGAGGCCACCAGCTCCATCCTCAGAGCCCTCCTGAGAGGACATCAGGCAGTAGGAATGGCGGGGGGCCGGCAGGGGGCTGGCGGGGGGTACGAGCACACAGGCCATCTGCTTCTCTGGTGGCCAGTCTGGTCCTGGGCACAGAACTCAGGGATGAATCCACTTTGGCCTCCGTCCCCAGAGAATTCACAGGCTGCTGGTGGCCAAGGGGCTAGGAGGGCTAACTCCACACCCCCGCCGCAGGTCCATGCTGCCAGACGTGGTGGATGACTTTCAGCTGCAGCACCGTCACGGGCCAGGCCTGGAGACCATCTTCTACTCCTCCTACGTCTTCTTCACCAAGCTGTCTGGCGCATGTGCCCTGGGCATCTCCACCCTCAGTCTGGAGTGAGTCCCAGGGTTAGGATACAGCAGAGGCACCAAGGACCAGTGGGCAGGAAGAGGGCAAAGCCCCTCACCTACCAAGCTCAGGGCATCCATGAGCCTGGGGCCTAAGCGCTACTCTTTGGAGAGTGTGGGGAACCACTTCCCCAGGTTTCTCTGTGCATGAGACTGAGAGGGCCAGCTCCCCTATTCTCAGTTCCCTCTAAACTCTCCCAGGTCAGCCTGTCACCTTGACACTCCTCTCCTGATCTGACCAGGAAATGAAGTCCACGTTTCAGGAGGGGGTGGGGTGGGGTGAGGTGTCGAGTCCCTCCACCCAGGGTGCCAGGCTCAGCAGGCCCTGCCCTAATGGCTGGCTGATGTTTCTCCAGGTTCTCGGGGTATAAGGCAGGGGTCTGCAAGCAAGCAGAGGAGGTGGTGGTCACCCTCAAAGTCCTCATTGGCGCCGTGCCCACCTGCATGATCCTTGCTGGGCTCTGCATCCTCATGGTCGGCTCCACTCCAAAGACACCCAGTCGGGACGCCTCCAGCCGGCTGAGCCTTCGGAGGTAAGCCCCGCACGCCCCCTGCAGCCAGCGAGGCACAGTGTGGGCTGCTGGGGGAATGACTAACACCAGCCTGCAGACATCCCTGCTGTGTCACACAGTCCTGCCTCTGGGACCTCTTTCCTTAGCTCAGGGTCACCCTTTTCTCCTGGATTTTCTTCTCCCACTCTGGCCACCCCTTCTCAGTCTTCTTCCTTTGATCACCTGGTAGACTGTGGTATGTGAGGGCTCACTCCTTGATCTCCTATTGCTTTTGCTCTCCAAAGCCCCCTTGGTACCTCTTCTGCTAGCCTGACCCAACTCAGGCACTCCTTGTGCCTGGTGACTGCTAGAGCTGCCCCTCCAGCCTGTGCTTCCCTCAACTTCCACAGCCGCATATCACTGGCATGTGGACATTTCCACCTAGTAGCCCACAAGCCTGGCACTCAGTCTCGATGAGCCTCAATGGAACTCATCTTGTCCCCCTAACTGGCTCCTCCTTCTGTGTCCCTGTCTTGGTGAATGACACCATCGTTCCCTCTGGGTGGAAGCCTAGGAGTCTTCTGCTCTTCCCTCCCACGGGCAATACTGAGCAGGTCTCTGACCTGGTCCTTCCCCTACCAGAACACCGACCCCACTGACGGGGAGGATCTACTCAC